>NC_000010.11:82112792-82264307 GCF_000001405.40 Homo sapiens | reverse complement strand
TCCTGCCACCCTGTGAAGGGTGCCTTCGGCCATGATTGTAAATTTCCTGAGGCCCCCCAGCAATGTGGAACTGTGAGTCCATTAAACCTCTTTACTTTATAAATTACCCAGTCTCAGGTATGTCTTTATTAGCAATGTGAGAACGAACTAATACAAAGGCTCTACGTTTTTTAACTCCAGCCCCTATTTCTCCCCTGAGTTCCAGACTCACATATCCAATGCCTATGTGACATTTTCTCTTCGTTGCCCAGTAAGCATCAGTCATCACATCTGGGGAGATGATTTACCCACATGCCCAGGAAAAGCAAAATAACAACAACAAAAAAATAAACAAAGCCCCTCTGAGTTAACTTTGACTCATTTATTCTGCCACTCATCATGTGCAAACCATCAGTATATCCTAACTTTAACTTAAACTGGATTTTAAATATAAACCATCACTTTAAAAGCAACAACATTTGCTAATGGATGCATCACCTTTATTTAGCAAAAATTTTGGTGTTATCTGTATTTGGCTTGTGAATACTAGTGCTCTTGGAGTTTCTTATTGAAATAAATGGCTACATGTCATCCCTTGGGAAAGGGAAGGTTAAATTATACATCTCGACTATGGAAAAATTTATACAATTTTAGGTAAAGACGTAAATCCTGGAAAAACAGGTGTAAGTGTGTATATGAGTGTGTGTGTGTGGTGTGTGTGTATGTAGTATAAAAAGAAAAGATTATAGGTTATTCTTGAGTAGTCAGAGTAAAATGCTCTGCCAAATGTTATTTTGAACATTTTTACTATATCAGTTCAGCAAAATTAATGCTTATAAATGGTAGGAGCATAACTGAGAGAGAAAACCATTAGCTAAAGGCTATAATCTTAGCACACTGGAAGAAAATGATTTGGAGGATAAAAATGTTCAATAGAAAACTTAAAAGGTTTTAAAATGCTCCAAATCTCATTCAGAGTGCATGAACTTTGTGGATTTAGAGGCAAAAATCTCAGCCTTGTCTACCTTCTCTTGCCCATCCCTTGAGTAATTCAAGCCTAATTCAATCATCTCTATCTTGTATCCGTTTTTCTTTATTTTCTTCCCTCAGCCATCCACATCTTTCTTTCCCACTGATGTACACCCACCTCCTGTTACTGCTACTGCAAAAGCTTCTAAATTGCTTTATTAAGTCCCCAGACTCATCGTTTTGGAAACCATCTTACAGACATTAACAAGACAAACGTTGTTCTAGTGTCACTTTTAAATTTTATTTTATTTTTTATACAAAGCAGGTAAGGAAGGATGCATGACCTAACTGGTGTTAATGATCTGGGATAAGACTCCAATCTTTGGTCCTTCCTATCCTCAACTATAAACTTTCAATTGTATCCAGCATTCCAGATAAAAATTAGGTTAGTGCTAAGATTCTTAATCAGCACAGTCCTAGGTGAATACTTTGGACAAGCTTTTTAACTCTCTGAGCCTCTATTTACATATACAAAAATGGCAATTCAAACACCCTCCTCATCGTGTTCGTAAAAGGGAAAAAGCAGATCACATATAGAAGGCACACTGCGCCTAGCAGTCAGTAAGTACTCCATCCTAGTGTCACTTATTAAAATATCCCCACCTATGACCTGTGACACCATATTTATTAAAAACAAACAGCATCAAGTAAGGAGTTCACAGATGCTGCATGTATCAGACCTGATTATTACCTAACACATTGTTTGAAGGAAACACTGAACCCTGAGAACAGAGCAGTACTAAGGCTAGACATTGGTAGCAACTAAATTTCTCATTTGTTCAGGTGGAAATAGGAGTAGCCAGAATGTAAAAGCTAAGAAAATACTGTGAGAACAAAATGAGTGTACTTACAAGTCAGTAAAACAAGCAACAGAGCTAAATCTCTCTAGATACAAAATGTCAAACAGAATGATCTCTTTTTCCTGTATGCGGCCATTTTTGCTAGAGTAGGGCTGAATACTTTAAGGTCCCAAATCGAAGCATAAAACATGGGCATGTCAGGATTGTCACTACTCCGTGTCCTACCAACCAATCCTTGTCTGTGACACAATTTATGTTATTCCTTCCTCCCCTTTCAATAGTCAACTCAAATCTCACCTTTACTTTGATGACTACTGTATTAGTCCATTCTTGCATAGCTATGAAGAAATACCTAAGGCTGGGTAAGTAATAAATAAAAGAGGTTTAGTTCGCTCATGGTTCTGCAGGCTTTCCAATCATGGCTCCAGCATTTGCTCCTGGTGAAGGCCTCAGGAAGCTTCCAATTATGGTGGAAGGCAAAGGGGGAGCAGGTGCATCACATGGTGAGAGCAGGAGTAAGAGAAAGAAGGGGGAGGTCTCTGTTTAGTGTCAGGCACAGGCCCCCAATCTGGCCCCAAAACTGGTCATAAACAAAATCTCAGCAGCACCGTGACATGTTCGTGATGGCCATGATGCCCACGCTGAAGGTTGTGGATTTACTGGAATGAGGGCAAGGAACACCTGGCCCACCCAGGGCGGAAAACTGCTTAAAGGCGTTCCTAAACCACAAAAAAATAGCATGAGTGATCTGTGCCTTAAGGACATGTTCCCGCTGCAGATAACTAGCCAGAGCCCATCCCTTTGTTTCAGCCCATCCCTGTTTCCCATAAGGAATACTTTTAGTTAATCTATAATCTATAGAATCAATGCTTATCACTGGCTTGCTGTCAATAAATATGTGGGTAAATCTCTCTTTGGGGCTCTCAGCTCTGAAGGCTGTCAGTCCCCTGATCCCACTCCACACTCTATATTTCTGTGTGTGTGTCTTTAATTCCTCTAGCGCCGCTGGGTTAAGGTCTCCACGACCCAGCTGGTCTCGGCAATTAGTCCATTTTCACACTGCTATAAAGAAATACCCAACACTGGGTAATTTATAAAGGAAAGAGGTTTAATTGACTCTCAGTTCCACATGGCTGGGGAGGCCTCAGGAAACTTACAATCATGGCAGAAGGGGAAGCAGGCACTGACCTTCTTCATATGGTGGCAGGAGACAGGAGAGTGAATGAGTGAAGCGGGTGGCGCCCCTTATAAAACCATCAGATCTCATGAGAACTAATTCAGGAGAACAGCATGGAGGAAACCACCCCCATGATTCAATTACCTCCAGCTGGTTTCTCCCTTGACATGTGGGGATTATGAGGATTATGGGGTTTGCATTTCAAGGTGAGATTTTGGGTGGGGACACAGCCAAACCATATCAGTCTCTAGCTCTTTTAAACAACTAGATCTCATGTGAACTGCAAGAGAGAGAACTCACTCATCACCAAGGGGATGGTATTAAGCCATTCATGAGCAACCTGCCCCATGATCCAAATACCTCCCACCAGGCCCCACTCACAGCATTGGTGATTACATTTCAACATGAGATTTTGAGGAAACAAATTTCCAAGCCTATCAACTCCAGACCTCTCTGCTCACTTGCTTCACAGAACTCCTTTACCACATGAAGGCTGTACAACATCATGTAGCACCTAAATGTATACTGTTTTATTAGTCATTTATTGTGTCCTGCCTGTATGGGGGGGTCATGTTTCCCCAGCTCAGCTTAGACTACCTTTTTAATAGATTTACTATCTCCCTAATTTTACTCAGTGAAATGGAGAAGACTAAAATGGTCTCTCTGTCACCAGTCACTACCACTCCAGTCCATTCTCACTCTGCTTCTCTAGCGATCTCAAACCAGAAATCTGATCCTGACATATTCCCACTGCAAATGCCATGGCTTAAAAGATAAATGGCAAACCTCTTGGTGACCCATTCATTGTCTTTACCCAACCTGTCATTGTCATGTTATTTCCCAGCATCTAATTCCAGATATAATTGAGATTTCCTGGAAAGTTGAAGGAATATGATGCCTCAGGCCTCTACTTAATCCAGGGCACATGTCACTTCTAAGAATCCCTTCCTGATGCTCCAAGAAAGACATGACTCTACTCCTATAATGCTGCACTTACAACTCTAGCTGCTTTGGCATTATAAACGTCTCCCATGTGTTATTTGTACCACTATTATAGGTTCCACCAAAGCCAGGGCACCAAGTACAAACGCCAAACTCAGTGATTTTGCTAATTTCTTTAGGAGATACACAGATAAGGTGAATTACTAAGCCCTTTAGCCTGACTATGAAGATGTATCGCTTTTTGTTATGACTGAAAGAGCAATCCATTTATGAACCAACCCTGTCTAGGCAACTTTTCAGCCTTAGAAATGAATGCGTATTTTGTGGGACAGGGAATAGAAAGTATGGCATTGTAGCAACAGGAAATACTTGGCTGCAGCCTGAATAACATTTATTTATTTTTATCTATTTATTTATTTGTTTATCAGTTTTGTTTTGTTTTTTTAATAGAGACAAGGTCTTGCCCTGTCACCCAGGTTGGAGTGCAAAGGTGTAATTATATCTCATGGTAACTTCAAACTCCTGTCCTCAAGTGATCCTCCCCGCTCAGCCTCCTGAGTAGTTGGGACTATAGGTGTGCAGCACCATGCCTGGATAATATTTTTAAACAATTCTTGTAGACATAAGGTCTCACTATGTAGCTCAGGCTGGTCTCAAACTCCGGGGCTGATGCAATCCTTCCACCTCTGCCTTTCAAAGCTCTGGGATTACAGGCATGAGCCACCACACCCAGCCTAATTCATTGTTACGGAGTGGTCAGTGTTTGCAAACTCCATCCTAGTTGTTCTGCTGCCATTTTATTATACTACTTTTTACTTAATATTTCTTTTTCTAAGTTTGCCTATGGCTGTGTTTAACAAGATGATTACTACGGTGTGCCATCTAATTTATAATTAATAAAGAGGAGTGTAGGTGCTGGAATTTTCATAAACATCCTGAATTCAAGGTTACTCTGCACAGACTTGGTGTCAGGTGCGCTGGGTCTTCCTAGATTGAGTAAACCAGGATTTTTTATCTTAATGACTCTGGCCCAAGGACTACTTGTCAAATGTATGCTAACATTTGACAAGTATTTTGGCAGGAAATTGTAGTGTGCATCTCCAAAAACACACAAAGGCCCTGAGAAGGATTGATTTTCAGTTTTAAATGGAAAGTGAACTGAAGTGAAAAAGATAACAACTTCTGTAAAATTGAACATTCAGATTTTCGATCAATGGCAGATGTTTTATTTGTCTGAAATTAACCCATGGTGACTGAAAAGCTCCCTTTCATATGGGGTTGCATTAATTCCATAAGGCCACAGAATAGGTCTGAGCTCTGGAATAATCCCAGAGACTGTCACACCCAGCACCCAACTTTCATCTTCCATTTCACAATTAGTTTCCTGGGGATATCAGTTTCAGGCCCAATCTGCACAATTCCTATCTTTCAATCCACAGCTGCTTTTGTTTCTAATTTCCCGAGTTCCAAGTAAAATTAAATACGTATCTTTCTCAAAGTGGAAGACCTATGTTATGGTTGATGTGAAATATACCCAGCATTAAATCCTGGATCTATCACAAGGGAGCTATGTGGCCATAAGACTGGCATTTCACACCTCCAACCTTCACATTCCTCATCTAAACTTTGAAGGACAGACAACTCCTCTCTTGGTTTGTTGTAACTGTTTGATAAGGCAACCTATAAACATATCCTTAACACACTGCCTGTTTGAATGCTGGCACTCGATGTGTCTTTTTCCTCAAATGTAACATTAGGACAATTTTGCATTATTGGGCAAAGCACTGAATTAATATCAAACAAGTAACTCCACCATTTGCCCTGCTGCACTACGGCCTTTGTGCAATGATTGTTATTTAGTCTGTGTCATGAAAATCCATATGATAGATACAACAAGGATGCCTGCCTAATTTGTGAATTCATATTTTTCATTCCTCAAATGTCTACTTAGTATACAGCATACACAAATCCAATTTGTATGCCATATCTCTGGCAAAACTTCACAGGAGAATAATGGACTCTAATAAGAAAAATAAAATGATCAAATATAAAAATGTTGAGTCCTAATTATGAGTCATAGAAAACAGAGGACACCTAAAAATGATAAGGCCATAATTGAGCACAACTATTATCACCATCTATTCCCTAGGAACGTTCCATTCATGACCAATATAATTGAGAATGTCAATAAACTAGGTTGGAATAATTTTTAACTGATGCATTTTATTCTCGTACAGCACCTACAGCACTGCTGCATCTGGACAACTATTAAATAACAAAGCGGTTACAAAGAGAGATGACTACAAAACCTTGCTCTCTGTTAAAGGATGTGTGTTAGGCACTATCTGGGAAATAAATGGGGAGTATCTGGTAATTGATGAGTTTAGCCAGAGACTTATGCAAGATGCAGACACCAAGGAGGAGAGAGTTATCCACTCATGTAAGGCCCTGTAGTTAGCAGGTAATAGGGGTAGAATTTAAACTTAGATTTACCTAACTCCAATTCATTCCATATTAATACTATGCTTTTCAGGGCAAAGTGCAAGAAAATATGGTGATTTTATTTTGTTAGATAGACATCATAGGAAAAATCAGAATTTTTTTTTCTTTTTTTGAGACAAAATCTTGCTCTGTCACATAGGCTAAAGGGCAATGGTGTGATCTTGGCTCACTGCAACCTTCGTCTCCCAGGTTCAAGCAATCCTACCACCTCATGCTCCTGAGTAGCTGGGATTACAGGCGCCCACCACCACATGGCTAATTTTCGTATATCTCTACAGATGGGGTTTCACCATGTTGGCCAGGCTGGTCTGGAACTCCTGACCTCAGGTGATTCACCTGCCTCAGCCTCCCAAAGTGCTGGGATTACAGGCATGAGCCACCACGCTCGGCCTAGAATTCTTAATAACTTTTTTTTTTGTATTTATAAATGTTTGCTAATCACTCCTA
Organism: Homo sapiens; assembly: GCF_000001405.40. Lineage (NCBI taxonomy): Eukaryota > Metazoa > Chordata > Mammalia > Primates > Hominidae > Homo > Homo sapiens. The sequence continues at coordinate 82,257,431 of NC_000010.11, read as the reverse complement.
CAAAAGACCTTAAAATTGTTTTCAATGTATCTCTTTATTTATTCACTCAACTAACATGAATTGAAGGCCTTTTATGAAACACACTGTAACCCACTGGCACAATATTGCATTCTGAACTCATTACAGCTGGATATGTAAAAGGAAGAAAAGTTTTTTTTCCCCATTCTCCTTTCTTCCTTCTCTCTTCTCTTTCCCTTTCACTAGACCTTCCAGAGAGGTACGCAATTGTTTTTGGACTGATTGACTCTTTCATTCAAATACTTTTTGGCATTCAGGTTTTAAAAATAAATTTAAAAAATTTACATACATTCCAGGGTTCTAGCTCCTTTTGAGAATTTAAGACTATCTTGCAATCAGGTCCACAATTGGAGCTGAAGTCGCTGTTATAAAATCAGAGCAAATGGCATGAGAAGTAGTACTGGTTATAAACCCTGTCGTCTACACATTGTCAACTGAGAAAAATAGCAATTCCACGGACCATGACCTCTGATTTATCTGGCCATCATTTGCAGGAAGTCATTTCCTAGAGAGTAGAAAAACATGCCTCTCATCATAGATAGAGACATAATGTTCCCTGCCTCTCTTTCTCTGTAAGAACTCAGCTATTGATTTTGCTGAATTTCTGGTCCTTCCTCTTCCATTGCCTAAAGGGTTCCAAATGCATTCTCTTAGTGCTCATACACATTCCTTGTGAATCTGGAGAATATCCTTATTTTGTAAAGTTAGAAGATAGAAATAGAAGACATCAATATTCCCCAGTTCAAAATTTTCAGAAGAGAATTAGGAAAATAAATCTGAATTTTATTCCCATAGTTATCCCACAAGAACAGAAAGAGAAGGTAGAGCAGCAGGATAGAGAGCAAGAGTGTGAGCAAACACAGAGGTAGAGAAAGAGGGAGTGCAAGCCTGTGCCTCAGGACAGGAAGGAGGAGTAAAGCCTGACAAGACCAGAGATAACTTGAGAACATCCAGCGTGACACCTGAAGAGGGCAGTGAGCCATACAAGAAAAAGAGCTTCCTGACTTTGTGGAGCACTCTACAGTATACAAAGCATTCAAAATAACGTACATTGAAAGCAACAACAAAGGCATCGATTTGGGGGAAAGAAGGTAGATACATCTGAGTATTTTTAGACCACAGCAAGTGGATGATGATGATGATGCACAGTATTTTTAAAGTAGATTTCATGTTTAGAAAAGTTTCAGATTTAAGCCAGGCACAGTGGCTCACGCCTGTAATCCCAGCACTTTAGGAGGCCGAGGCAGGTGGATCACGAGGTCAGGAGTTCGAGACCAGCCTGGCCAATATGGTGAAACCCCATCTCTACTAGAAATACAAAAATTAGCCAGGCACAGTGGCGTGTGCCTATAGTCCCAGCTACTTGGGAGGCTGAGGCAGAAGAATCACTTGAACCCAGGAGATGGAGGTTGCAGTGAGACGAGATTGCACCACTGAACTCCAGCCTGGGTGACAGAGCGAGACTCCATCTCAAGAAAAAAAGGAAAAGTTTCAGATTTATTGAAAAATTGACCAGGTGTGGTGGCTCACGCATGTGATCCCAGCAGTTTGGGAGGCTGAGGCAGGCAGATCACCTGAGGTCAGGAGTTTGAGACCACCCTGGATGACATGGTAAAACCCCATCTCTACTAAAAATACAAAAATTAGCCAGGTGTGGTTGATGCATGCCTGTAATCCCAGCTACTTGGGAGGCTGAGGCAGGAGAATTGCTTGAACCCAGGAGGCAGAGGTTGCAGTGAGCTGAGATCATGACACTGCACTCCAGCCTGGACGACAGAGCAAGACTCTGTGTTTTTTGTTTGTTTGTTTGTTTTTTGTTTTTTAAAAAAAAAAGATTTACAGAAAAATTGAGAAAACAGTACAGAAGTTTTCCTCATACTCCACACCCAGTTTCCTCTATTATTTCCACCATAAAGTAAGATAAAATTGCATTACCTCCTACGTTAATATGGTGTATTTCCCACTGTGAATGAAAGAATATTGATAGGAAGTTATCAACTAAAGTCCACAGTCTATTCAGACTTCCTTCATTTTTACCCCATGTCCTTTTCTGTTCCAGGATCCCCTCCAGCAGACCACATTTTATTCCATTGTCATGTTTCCTTAGCCTCCCCTTGGCTGTGTCAATTTCTCAGATTTTGCTTGTCTGTGATGACCTTGATGGTTTTAAAGAGTTCTGGTTCAGGTATTTTATAGGATGGCCCATGATTCGAATTTGTCTGGTGTTTTTCTCACAATTAGATTGGGTTTATGGGTTCCAGGAAGGAAGACTACAGATGTAAAGTGCCATTTTCATCATGTCCTATCAAAGGTACATAATATCAGCATCACTTATGATTGTGAGTATTGACCTTGATTACCGGGCTGGGGTAGTGTTTGTCAGATTTTCCTACCATTTAGTTATTCCTTGTTCCTTCTTTCCCTGTGTACTCTTCAGGAAGGAGAAACAAGGTCACTATGTACAGCCAACACCTCAAGGACTGAATATCTACATAAATTATCGTAAATTCTTCTGCATGGCATATTGGTCTCTTTTTCTCATTTTTGTATTTATTCAATTATTTATTTATATCTGCATGGTCTCATCAACATTTGTCTTATACTTTCAGTTATAATACAAAACTACTTTATTTATTTTGTTGCTCAAATTTTTTCAGCTTTGGCCATTTGAAATACTTTTGTTGGCTCCTGTGTCCCTTTGATATCTAACAATCAGTGTGAGTTTTTTGTTTTTGTTTTGTGTGTGTGTGTGTGTGTGTATTTGTTTTGTTTTTAGCACTTCCTTGCTTTCTGGCAGTATAAGATGCTCCAGGTTCATATAGGTAAATATATATTTCTTGCTTTAACCCTAGAATCATCCATCTCTCCAAGGAAACCAAGTTGTTTTAATTGATGAATGGTATTACAAACCAAGCTCTGGGCACTGGGTGTGCTCACTGTCACTGAGGTCATCAGCTTTGTAGTTGGCAAAGCACTGTAGAATTGCCAAAGTGTGGATTCCACCCATTATTACACTGCAACCTGATCATAGTTCTCAGGAGTATTGTGCCCCTGTTGTGCCACTCAGGAAATTAGGTTCTGGGAGGTTAACACCAAGTCCAAGGTATCAAATCTAGTTTACGTTAAAGTGAATTAAATGTTTATAAGATGTTTCTCAAGTTTCACTGTACTAGATCCTGGCTTATAATAGTAAGTGAGCATATCTGGAACCTTCCATTCTTAATCTTACAATCTGATTTCCAAGATAGAATTTAAAAATATAAGTACATATGTAAATATTCTAAAAATGGTTGGTCCTTTAAAGGAAAAGCACCCAGCACTGGAAGAGTGAATGACAGGAGCAGTGACTCACAACAGACAGGGGTAGAGGGGGCTTCGTGAAAAACTGTGAATGTGATATTTAAGTTGAGATCTTGAAATAGTGAAAGCTGGGTAATGAACGGGAGCTGTTTTTCAGAGACAGACAAGTATATAAGTAACAAATGCAAAATACATTGAATTGGAAAGAAGCTTGGCATGTTCAAGAAACTAAAATAAGATCATGAAGGTAGAATGTAAAGGGGTGGATTATTGTATGCAAGAATGGTGAGGTTTAGGCACAGCCAGATGAACCAATACTTGTAGGATAACCGAGGTAAGAATTTTTATTTTATCTTATTAGCTATGGAATGACACTAAAGTTTTAAAGCAGGGGAATCAAATGATAAAATGTAGGATCTAAACACATTATTTTGACTTATGTGTGGTGAATGAATAGGCAAAGTGGCAAGACTGAATTGAAGACTGATTAGAAAAATATTTGTGCTTTTGAGTAAGGTGATGGTGGCTGAGTCTGGTGTGTTTGAAGTGAGAATGAAAAGAAACGGAAGGATTGGAGAAGAGCTATTTATAAGGTAGCATAAAAGGTGGGAGAGTGAGCTCGAAAGAAAAATTAGTGAGACTGTTGAGCAGGACTGACAGCTCAGTTAGAGATGACCTGAATGTATGTCATAAACAATACAGCCAAGCTCCCCCATTGTGTGATTGTCTACAACTTCTTGGTTGTCAATGTGGAGAAGGTTGATAGGAAGGTTCATCTTGTGGGTTTGAAGTAGGAAGAGAGCAACTAATGCTGGAATCATGGCATCCAAGCAGGAGTGAAAGAAAAGTGGTGCTCCCAGGGAGCTAAGTGTTGGGGGAAATTGGGAGTTTCGTGAGGTCAGAGAATATGGGAGGTATTTGAACTAACCAGATAGTAACAGAGGGTGTTTGATAAACAAATGGAGCATTTTAACATGGAATATTAGAGCTGATATAGTTGTTGGTATTGGGAAATTCCAAGGTATGATGATGAAATGTGTGGCTTAGACGAAGCGAAGAAGGTGGTTGGAGATGAGGAGGCAAAGGGAATGAGAGATCGGGGTGTTGGATGAAGTGATTCTGTGGATGCTGAGGTCTGTTATGCTAATGACTGTAGTTGCAGTAGCGAAGGTGGCTTTGGGCGATGTTCTAGTCTTTAATGACTGAGGACTGAGAACATCCACGGCTTAGTGGCTGAAAGAAGTCAGAAGCAAGAAAGTAATACAGCCAGGTGTGAAACTCAATGGAGCAAGCTGGAGCCAGAGGCATTATTCTGTACCCACTATTTTAAGATCATTATTAGTTTTTGGTACTGATTATACTCTCCAATCCAGAAACCTTGAATAGAAAAACTGAGGGCTCACAGATAAATCTTAAGGAAAAATTTTAAATCCTTCAGCCTAGGCAGTTAGCTATTCTATACCACCATACTTTGGAAATAGAAAAAAAAAGTGAATCCAAATCCTCATTTTATTAGTATCATTAGGAGCAATACTGTACCAGATATGTCACACAAGTTTTCTGAATCTCAGTGTCCTCATTTGTAATATAGTGCTAAAAATACTCACCACACAGAGGTTTTTATGAGAATCACATAGAAGTAGGCATGGAAAGTACCTAGCATAGAACTGAACTTTTCCAATGCCTCTGTTTTCCCATGTATAAATGGGATTAATAATAGTATCCATATCATAGAAAATTTGTGAAGACCAGCTGAGCCAATGTAGGTAAAGGTTTCAGATCAGCACTTGGCACGAGGTGAAATTTATATCATCAGCACTGGCTATTTTTATCACTAAAGCAAACACAAGGGAAAAAAATTTTTTGTACCCAATTGAGCAATGTTTGTGTTGAAATCATTTGTCTTCATTCATGGACTTAAATAATTTTTCAGCAAGAACTCTGTGATCCTCTCTTCAAGGCAATTAATTAAATGGATAGAGAAAAGGGGTCTTGAGAATCTGAATCTCTGTGCTTGGCCCCTGAGCTGGTTGGGAGCCCACAGAAGGCCTCAGTCTCTGAGTCTTGCTTCTCTGTCCACAGCACCATGCAGGGCAGGCTGGGTGGGGGCGATGCCTTCCAAGAAAAGCCATAAGCCCCTGATGGGCAGTGTGGTGGGGAGGGGCAATGCCCTCACCCCACACCATTGCTCAGGGGCCTTCTTTTGGAGCCAGTCCTCCTTACCTCTGCCAGAGAGTTGTCAGGACAAGAAGCCCCCCACAGGGAGATTGCACTGCCAGAAAGCACCCAGGCCTGCAGTGATTGGAGTTAATTGGCCTTTATTTAGTGTCAGTGCTGCTCTGATCTGCCTCATTAACCCCGGTGACCACATGGTGCTTTTTAACGAAGATCCCTACCTTGCCCAATTCTCGATTTAAACAAAGGCACCTTTGAAAATCTCGAAATCCCACACTGATCAATTTCTACTTAGAAAAAAAATCAAAGTGTTATCTGCTGGGTGGTCAGGAGCGGCACCAGGATCTACCACCTTCATGCTTCTCAGGCCAAGCAGGTGACAAGACTGTGGTCAGGATCACGAAGCAGTTCAAGACTCAAGGCAGGAGAGTGCAGCACTGAAGCCAGGCAGTCTGTGAGGGAATCCTGATTGTGATCACTCCCATGTGGAGTCAGAGCTGCATGAAAAGCCTTCTCGGTACCTGCAGGGCCACTGTAGATGAGGAGCTTCCTGTCGCTCAGCAGGACAATGGCTTTAGAGGATAAGATCCTTCTTAGGAAGCAAGATCCATGCTCTTTTAACAAGAGGAAGAGTCAGAGGGAAGAGGGGGAGGAGAAGCTTGGGGTCATCCCTCTAATGAGACACCCAGGAAGAGAAGGAACAGCTCCAAGTTCCTATAGGCCCAGTGGGTTGTTAGAGGTGAGAACTAAGGAAGCTTTAAGTGCCAGGGGGAATAGGATAGAGTGGAGAATACTTTCACTATTCATAGCCATGACATTCTTCTCCAGGTTTTTGTAGCAATGTACGTCCAACGTCGTCAGATTTTCAGGTATTTCAAGAGAGCCCAGGAATTCAGATTTGTGTAAAGTCTCTCAATTTTTATGTATTGGTGACTAATTCACTTTCTGTTGTTATTAAATACTTGCAAGCCAGAACGTTGTCAGTCAAATATACAAGACTGCCGATCAAATGCAGCTTGGCATCTGTCTGATTGAGGCCTCTGAGCTGCAACAGCAGACTCATGCCTTGGTTTTACCTCTTTTAATACAGCATCCGGTAAATATAGACTAGAGCCAGGCACCAGGCAAGGAGCTATGTAGTTGTGATCTGCCTTCAGGTGGCTTGTGACGTAGATGGGGAGTCTGGACAATTAAATGATCACTGCTATGTGATGTATGTAAGGACAGGAATTAGCAGGGTCTTTTAAAATGGTATAAAATTCAGCCCTAGACAGTCAAGCAAGGCTTCCTGGAAGCAGGGGTCAAGACCAACGTGGTCTTGATATCTCAGCAGAAGTCATTCTGTTTTTTGAGACGGAGTTTCGCTCTTGTTGCCCAAGCTGGAGTGCAATGGCTCCATCTTGGCTAATTGCAATCTCCGCCTCCCAGGTGTTCAAGTGATTCTCCTGCCTCAGCCTCCCAAGTAGCTGGAATTACAGGTGCCTGCCACCATGCCCAGATAATTTTTTGTATTTTTAGTAGAGATGGGGTTTCACTATGTTGGCCAGGCTGGTCTCCAACTCCTGACCTCAGGCGATCCACCTGCCTCAGCCTCCCAAAGTGTATACATCTTATTTCTACTGTCTTCATACCTAAATACATCCCAAGAAAAGCCAAGCACAAAAATAAAAGTTAAACAAATAAAAATTTTTAAAAACCTTCCATATTGATATATTGATCCTCAATTTTTGTGGCATATTTTAGTTGTCCTGTCTTCAGTGAATACTTGTTTCAACTCCTGAAATTTTATTTCCTGGGTTATCTTTATAAACTACTAAAGTGTCAAATGTTATGAGATAATTCCACCTCAAGAACAGGAGTTTAGCTTCATTCACTGTGTGGCTCTGGGGGATAACAAGCCAGGACCTCTGGAGAGGAAGTACTTCTTATTCTGACGGGTCACCTGAGACCATTTCTACCATCGCTGTGGAGTTTATATTCACATTGGGCTTAGAGGGCCTCATTCATTTCTGCAGCAAATCTTTTTGGGTGCAAACTGCATTGCTGATAAGGTTACCACACTGACAAAAACGAATCAAGTGAAGGGTAAATTGATTTGAATCTTAACCTAAGCCAAATGTGATAGAAAAAGTTACTTTTGAAAAGACGAAAGAATGTATTGCAAAAGCCAGTAGTGTTCTGATAATGCTTCTCCATGTGCTTAGTAAACATAAGCATGCCTCTCAATTTTAGACTCAATCTATGTTTCCCACACCATTCAGAAGCAAGTGTGGGTTGTGTGTTTTTCCTCCAGAAAATGCTTATTTACAACTTTTTCCCACTTCTGGCAGACAAGTGGGTCAGGGTGTGGTTATTCATTATTTATTTTTTCTTTCTCACTCAGCAAATGTTTACTATTTATTTTCTTTTTCATTCAACAAATATCCAACAGTATCTGCTACTATGAGCCAAAAGCTGAACTTTTCAGTGTATAAACAACATCTAAATCCTAAAAGATGGTGGGGGGTGGGAAAAGAATCTCCATAAGTACCCTCTATTCCTGGTGACCAACTGGGGTAGTGGCCGGTGCAAATGAGTCTGCTTAGCAAGCACAGCAAAAAGGGAAGTGAATATCCAGCTCTATTCTCACATGGAAATCCACATGAATTCAATAGCCCTTCATTGAACATCTGTCTACTGGATGTAATGTCCTGTGCAGGGAGCTGGAAGGCCATATAAAGGCTCTTCCCCAAGGAGTTTATAATCTAGGAAAAAAGATAACAACATGTACATAAATAAATAAAATACCAAATACAGAGATATGGGGCCAAAAAGAAACCTAAAATAAAGACCTTTACTTAATAGTTTCAGAGAGGACAGACTTATGCTTGATCATAGAGGATTACAAAAGGCATCAAGGGTCTGGTAGCATTTGTTCTGGGTCTTGTGAATGGCAGGTAGGATTTTAATGGAGGTGGAAGGAAAGCACAATTCTAGAAAGTAAGGAAAGCACGGTGGGGAAGGGAGACATCAGTACTGACTATTATACTGAGACTTGCAGACAAGCCAGGAAACACAAACCAGGACTATTGAGGGCCTGATTAAAATTGTTAGGCAATATAGAATGCAAATATGAATATGAAACAGCTTAGTAACATAAACTAAGCTTTGTTTTACAATAATTTGACTGCTGTGTACAGAATGTACTGGAAGCAAGTGATCCAACAGCAGGGAGACCACTTAAAATGATAATGATCATAACTAATATTAAAACAAAGACAGTAATGGCAGCACTTATGTTGCACTTACCAAGGGCCAGGAATTATTTTAAGCATTTTTGCACGTAGTAACATATTGACCCCTCCCATTCATCCAAAAAATAGATACTATTATTATCCCCACTTCACCAATAAGAAAGCTAAAACCAACTTTACATGCAGATGGTCACCCAGCATGGAAGGGCAGGGAGAGGTCATGGACCAGGAAGGCAGGCAGACACTTGCTTCACCTCTCCACTCTGCTCTCTCACGGAGGAGCCAGTTCAACATCTTGGTGAGAAATGATGACAGCCTAAAACTGAGGAGTCACAGTGGGAATGGAGAGGGCAGAATTTACACACAGGGACTGGGAACAGAGGGAGTAGACAGAGGAGACCAAGAAGCTCTCACAAAGGTATAAATTGACATGCCACAGTATAGAGGATTTCAAAAACAAAGAAATTATTCCAGAGAGTTAAATGGTACTGAAAAGTCAAAGCAGATTAGAATTTTGAAAGAGCTAGTGAACTGAATAAAAGGAATTCCCTGCTGCCTGTTAGGTCAGTAGTTTTAGAGCAGGGTTACGGTTATACATTGCAAGCAGTTAAGAGTGGATGAGTAATAAGAAAGATGGGCCATTGGACAGAGATGATTCTGTTCAAATTTGCATGGTAAAGAAATAATAAAATCAGAAATAAGAGTATGTAAAATTCTGATGGAGTTAAGTAAATGATACCTTTGCTATTACTACTATTACTATTATTATTATTGTTATTGCTAGTTACCAAGGTAAACCATCTTTGCAGAGAAGTTAGGTAGAATGAAAATCAGCAGTAAATAGAAGGGAAGAGAAAACACGTTTTGATTATTTAAAGAAGTATATGAATATATCTGAATGGGCAGTCTCAATGCTCATTATAAATTACTAGAAATATCCAAGTGGTAAGTACCCTAGAGGGGTACATTCAGACTCTGGTCTGAATTTTCAAGGATTCACTATAAGGTTTGGTTTAAGCATAATAAATTCCCATTTTAGAACAAGACAGATCCCTGTATTCTAATGTTTTTCTGGGTGAATTTGTATCAAGTATTAGATTTTGGTAGTTTGTGGATCATGAAGCAACTTGGACCCTGTAATGGACTGAAGGTTTGTGTCTCTCCAAACCCATATGTTGAAATTCCAACCCCCAAAAGGATGGCATAAGAAGGTGGGGCTTCTGGGAGGTAATTACGTCATCAGTAATAGTTCATATAAACAGAATTAGAGCCTTTATAAAAGGAACCCCCAAGAGCTCTCTTATTCTCTTTCTAAGAGGGGACATGCGAGAAGGTGGCCGTCTGCAGCCCAGAAGAGAGCCCACACAGGAACCTGAACATGCTGGGTCCTTGGTCTCAAATTTCCCAGCTTCCAGAACTGTGAAAAATAAATTTATTTGTTATGAGCTACCCACTCTATGGCACTTTGTTATAAGCCAAATTAACTAAGATATACCCTAACATCTGTATAGACAGCCCTTCATAAGGTGCATCCCACATGACACATGCTGAAATACGTTCACTGGATTGGCAGACATGTTAGACCAGGTTTGCTGAGGAGAACAATGTTTCCCCTCACTTCCAAGGGCAACATCAAATTTTCAGCCTCCTTTTAATTTCTGCAGCTGGCACTGCAGCTGAAGGGCCAACAGCATTACAATCATTTCTGACATTTCCTAGTCCTTTATAGCTTACGGCAGGTTTTCTCAGTTGCAACTTTAGCATACCTTATAACAGTTCTCTTATGTAGCCAAGGCAGAGGGTGTGATCCTATATTAGAGAAGTGGAAAACCAGGCTGAGAGATGTATTTCCTTGCTCAAGGCCATTCACATAGCAGGTGGGCCAGCATTCACACTCAGACCCAGTGACTCTGAACGCCTTACTCTCTGAAAAAAAAACTCCTTCTAAATACCAGTTCCTTCTCTTTTGAGTAAAAGCAAAACATGCAATCTTGCGATTCAGACTAAGATCATTTCCCATTCTTTTTTTTCTGCTCTGTGTTTGACCTCTTAGACATATTTAACCCCTCTTTTGGTCAAACTTCAATTATTGAGATTTATATTCAGTTGTTTATGCCAAAGCATTAGCATATCCCAGATTTCACTGGTAACCAGGAAAGCAGTAATTATACCGTTTGCCAAAAGAGTAGGTGCCCTCATTATTTATCTCAGTGAAAAAAGTTTGTTTAGATTTTTTCATCCTTCGTGTTTTCTCTAGTAAATAGTTATCCAGCTAAATTATTCATCACATCATCAGAGTGCTTCCTGGAGAAAATTCAAAAACATGTTATAACACCCTCAAGAAATGCATGTCAAAGTCTGAATGATTACTAAAGCACAAAAATGAGGCATATCAAGCATTTTGCAGTATGTGAAAGCAAAATAGGCCAGTCTGGGAATGATCTAATATCACTGTCTTCAGATAAGGGAGATGGTCACTGCCCCAAGTCTTTTCTTTTTAAAATAAACCAGCTAACACAGAAACTGCCTTTTACATATAAGTGTAGACTCCACAGAGTAAGTAGTTACATGCGAAAACTGCAAGGACACAGAGAGACTAACCTCAAAAATTTATTATCACAAGATCTTATCCTCTAGCTCTCATTCATATGTCATACTTTCCTGAGGAATAAATACCCGAGTGTTTCACAATATATGTTGAGTTAAAAAAAAAAAAAAAAAAAAAAACCAGAAGACTGGGAAAAAATCAGGCTAATGCTACAATCATGGCATTTGCACAAATTTTTCAAAGTGTAAAGTAGGATAAATGTATTCTAACGTACCCAAGAGCAGGGCAAATTAGGGAATGCCGAAATAAATCTTTGATCAAAGGAGAATTTTATTAATGATTTCCAATATTTTTCAGATTTTCCTCATTCTTTATCTTCTCAAAAATGAGAATTCCTGTGTGGTTAAATTCATGTCCTAGTTCTTAAGTTAGAAAACATCACACAAATAACAGTTGCTATTAATTGAATGTTTTTATTATGTCAGGTACTTATACTATTAGCAATTTTTGAAAAATATTGAAAACTAAGTGCCATGTTTCTCTTTTTATAGTTGTAGAAGGTGAATCTCAGAGAGGCAGAATAATCCATTCCAGATGATACTGCCCCTAAGAATAAATCCAAGATTTAAATCCATGTGTGTGTGGAATTTCCTCTGTGTCTGCTCTTTTCACCAACATATATAAGTCTTTTACATCAGGGGTCCCTAACCCTTGGGCCATGGACCTGTATTGGTCTTTGGCCTGTTAGGAATCAGGCTGCACAGCAGGAGGTGAGCTGCTGGTGAGTGAGCAAAGCTTCATCTGTATTTACAGCCACTGCCCATTGCTTGCATTACCACCTGAGCTCCGTCTCCTGTCAGATGAGCCACAGCATGAGATTCTCACAGGAGTGAGAACCCTATTGTGAACTACACATGCGAGGGATCTAGGTTATGCTCTCCCTATGGGAATCTAATGCCTCATAATCTGTCACTGCCTCCCATCCCCCACAGATGGAACCCTCTAGTTGCAGGAACACAAGCTCAGGGCTCCCACTGATTCTACATTATGTTGAGTTGTATAATTATTTCATTGTATGTTACAATGTAATGATAATATAAATAAAGTGCACAATAAATGTAATGCACTGGCTGGGTGCGGTGGCTCACACCTGTAATCCTGGCACTTTGGGAGGCTGAGGAGGGCAGATTGAGCTCAGGAGTTTGAGACCAGCCTGGGCAACAAGGTGAAACCCCGTCTCTACAAAAATACAAAAAATTAGCCGGGCATGGTGGTGGGCATCTGTAGTCCCAGCTACTCAGGTGGCTGAAGCAGGAGAATTGCTTGAACCCAGGAGGCGGCAGTTGCAGTGAGCCGAGATCAAGCCACTGCACACCAGCCTGGGTGACAGAGCAAGACTCTGTCTCCAATCAATCAGTCAATCAATAATTGTAATGCACTTGAGTTATCCCGAAACCATCCCCCGCTCTCAGTACCCCCTGGCCTGTGAAAAAATTGTTACCCACAAAAATGATCCCTGGTGCCAAAATGGTTGTGGACCGCTGCTTTACATCATTATACATACTAATAGAACGCTTCTAAAGCAAAATATTTTTGAGAATTCAAAGTAGAGAAAAAAATTCAACAAAATAATTTAGATTCAGAAGACCACCTATTCCATCGTCCTTATTTTTCTGATTAGGCAATGGCACTCCAAAAAGATGAGGTCAACTACCCAAAAATAGTTCCAGAACCTAGGTCTCCAGACATCTAATTCAATGCTCATTTTGCTCACTCCCTCATCTTTCTAAATTCTAGATTTCTCTTACAATCTACAGAGTTGATGCTATGGTTCTCATAAGTGCACTGAAGAATTTAACTGGTAGATTAAGGTAATAATCTTTTCAAAGAGCTCTGAAATTATCTGAGCTTCAGATAAAACAGCCATAATTAGGTTCCCTGCCAGTTGAACAGCACGAATGCTATTGTCACTGTCCAAGCCATAGGAAAGAGTTACAGGACAAAGGAAAAAAAATCACAATGGTGTCTTTCTAGACTTTTAGGTAAAATGCCTGTTGATGATGAAAAGAACATAGGATTCTAAATTTCCTTCTCAGATCTCATTAAGCAACTGTCTGCACACCTTCTTTTTTGACTATTAATCTCCTTGAACTGATTCAGAAAAAGTATAGCATCATAATTAACATTTAAAAAAATTAGTCTAACAAAAATTTCCAGACAGATCTTCACCTCAAGCAGAAATTTCTCCTATTAAATGCTATCCTTGAAAATATCACTAAATCCTGCGTAGCAATTTCTCTCCTTTGCTGTATAATGATATAGCTATTGTACCCAAAAGAAAAGAAATACACATTTTACTTACCATCACAGCTCAGTTAGCAGTTTCCTCCAGGTTAAAAACTTTGTGTATTAGCTGGAAGTCAAGATCTATGTTTCTTTAAAAAATTAACTTGGGAAAGTTGGAGTAACTTATTTACTTAACCTTTATATAATCATGACAATTCAGACCGAAAGATAGTTATTTTCCTTCAGAATATGAATACATTGCTGCAATTTCTTCTAATTTCTAGGATCACTGTTGGAAAGTGTAAAGTCATTTTGAGTACTAATCACCGGGATTTGACTTAATTTTTATTTCTAAAGACCTTAAATTTTTTTCTTTAACTCTAGTATTATGAATTTTCATAAATATGTGCCTTCAGCTTGTCTTTTTAAAATTTTAAATTGTGGTGGGGCACTTGTATTGTAAATTTAAGTCATATTTTCTTTTATTATTTCTTTGATTATGTCTTCTCCATTTTCTGTTTATTTTCTGCTATTAGAAATATTTCTAGTTATCAGTAATGATCATGTTTCCAATATGTTTGCATTTACTAGAAGACTGATTTTTTGCATATTTTGATTTTTGCATATTTACTAGAAGGCTGTTATATTTTTTACATATCCAGTATTTTTACTTCTGGTTTGATTTCATGTTCTGACAACATATCACTTTAACTTTGGAGTGGGTCTCTTTTACATGCAGTAAAAGTTGTATGAAGGAAATTTGTGAAGCTCAGCAAAGTCCCTGCAACACAGTGCACAATAAAATTTTATGGAAGGAAATAAGTACACAGTGCTTTCTGTTTGAGAGTTTTGCTTTGTTTGCTTTTCTTAAGGATCAAGTAGGTTCAACCTGAGGCTTAAGCACGAGCCCTAACGGGAAGTCCTTAACACTTTCTGTTCAAAAGGGTCAGACTGTAGGTAGAAACTCAGCCAAGGTGTATCAGTGAGAAACAGACTGTGCATTTGCCAGTAGAATTCCCTTTCCAGCAAATCAAAATTTGTAAATAAGGCAGAAGTGGTCAGATGGGTGGAGAATGGGTTCCCTGCCTGAGATGTACAGAAACACAACATTTGGGAAACACATGTACTTCACTTTTTCTTTCTTACTCTCTCTCACACCCCCACCCTCTCTCTCCACCTAATCTCCTCCACAAGAATTCCAAAGTCTTCTTCTACAATACAAGTAATTAGCTCTTCCCCCAATTTTGAATATGCAAACCTCTCCAGGTCTCAGCAAAACAATAACTTCAGCTTCTGCACTCCTTAGAAAGAATGTTGTACCTATAAATGACTTTTTTCTTATTATTTTATAAACCATTTTAAATTGACTACATTTCACTTAGCACATAGTGGTTACTCAAAGAGAAAATACAAGCCCAACAGATGGGCAAATATCATTGCCTGTTCTATTTACAGAAATGTTCTTTGTCCCTAATATATTTTCTGGCACTTGATGGGTACTCAATGAAAATATTCCTGAAACTGCAGGTTTCTAACTTTTCTGGAGACATAATTTAGACACCATCTTTTGCAAAGGATATTCACCTTAAATAATTTAGAATTTTATGACAAGAAAATTCCAGACATAGAAAACAAACAAAACTGGGGGGCATCCACGATTGAAGTTGGATTACATTTCTGAGTGTCTTCTTAAAATATCACTTGTATTGCACATGTTCTAGTTTGTCATATCCCACTGTTAGGAAAGGCTTATAACAAATTATTTTAAAAGAATATCATTCACTATATAAATGTTGTACAGTTTTTCCCAGATAAAAATATTTTCCTTATTGAAAAAAAAGAGCTTATTGTTTCTTAGAAGAAACATGTTAATATAAACTGTATCAACCAGGTATGTGCTGTGAATTTACATCAAGTAATCTTCAATTTGGTGGGTCTCTAACTGTCTCAGAGTCATATGGTGAGAAAGATCCTTCCAGTCCACTCCAGGAAATGCTACTGAGCAGCTGTCTGTTGCTTTACACAGATGGTAATTGACAAATATGTATATTGCAAAGACTTCGCGATGTACTTCCAAAAGAAAAGTCATTCTTTAATGCCAAAATATTCCATTCTTGTATTCTAAATCACTGGGGGAATTTAACCTCCATTACTTAATATGATTAGTTTGACACTGACATAATTAGTAACCACCACAAAAGAACAAAGATTACAAGATCACTGTAAATAAAGGCCAATTATTTTACTTCTCTAAAGAAATACGGACTTACACCTTTTGCCATTAGTCATAGGCAGACAATTTAAAATGTATTATGTGCTAAACTAGCTATTAATAAAACAAACAAGGTGTCTTCCTTATGAGTAATGTTTAGCTTAGTTGTCCTTAATGTAAGAATCTGGGAATGGTGATGGAGGACAGAAGGAAAAATTAAAAAAATAAACAGCTGAGGGCCCAGTTAAGCTAGGCACAAAAGATACCCCTTGTATACTGTCAGATATAGACATTTTACTGATAAGGACAAAAGTTTAGAATTGTAATTCAGCTAGATTCTCAAAGTAGGAAATGTCAGAGCTGAAATTTGATCTTCTGTGTGGCAAACTCTCCTATACGCTACTGCTCCCCTCTCAATTATGACAAAGAAATTATCTTTTAGGGATATTTTTATACATTTTATCATTTAGATGCCATCTATAATTCAAATGCAATGTTGTTTTTTTGCAAGTTTTTGTCCTCACACCTTAAAGTATATCACTTCTCTAATGTTCATAGAAAAGTATAAATTATTCTAGCTCAGAGAATCAGCAGGTTTCTTATTTTCTCCCAAAAACTCAAGGAATTTCATCTCCAACATGTGTGTACCCTTAAAAAGAACCTTTCCTCTTGCAGTTTGTCTCCACAGCATTTGATTAAGAAAGTTACAAAATTATAAGAATAAAACATTGTAACAGGGTTTTTTAAAAAAAATCTTAGAGGCTTCTACTTGCCTATGTCATAACGTCAAAAATAAAATGACCTCCACAAAATTGGAGCACTGAGCAAATGAGGGAGAAGAAAACTCAACCAATAAGAATATTACTAATAAAAACTGACAGAAGTCCTCTCTAAACACACTTGTATCAACATTCATAAAGAAAGATCTAATGCCATTCCATTTGACTGAAATCCAAATCTATTGAACTTTCAGACAAAGTAAATAGCCTATTTATTCTGGAATGAACTACATAATCAACTAAGCATTTCAATTGAGGCCATCTTCCTCCACTAGATTATCCCCTGAAATAGCATCAGACGTTTCTCTGTGGACACTCGAGTGACTGATTGAAAAGTCTTTTTCCCCTAATGGAATTAGGAACCATTTCGGACTCTTCATCTTCCCTTCAGTTCTAGCTCATACTTCAAAAATTCCATTCTTCCAAAATTCTTAAGCAACCATCATTTAGTGGAAAATAATTCTATTAAAATCATATAATGCTATAATAAAACATGCATTTTATATGTATCTGAAATCTACACTTTCATCTTCATATTTGGAAAAGAAATAAAAGTCTGTTAATGATTTTTTTTATTCAAATGCATATAATTTACCAATTTTAATAAATTATCTTTAATAGAGAATTTCTCTTTAATTTCAGTTTTCCATTTAAACTGATAAAATCACATTATATCGATAGTGGTATATTAATTGCTGGGGGGAAAAAGAGTTATTTTTTCTTTAACTATTCAATGTAAAATCCTATGTCATGTCAGTTCCAACGAGAACTCTAGGCTAAAGCAGAAAAAACAAAAGGAAATGTGCCTTTACAGACTCACACAAATAGGAAAAACTTTTTTTGATCAGATTCAAAACAGGCATAAAATATGACTTGCACTTATTTTAAAAAAAATACCAGTACACTCTATTATGGGAAAGGCGTTATAATATTAAGAGTCACTTTTCTTTCTCTAGAAGTTAAAAATAAGTTTCTTTTTGTGAATACAATACAAAAATATTTAAACTATTTCATTGTTTAATAGATCATATTATAAATACTGGCTCACACTATATTATCAAAATAAAACTGGAACTAAGCTAACAGCAGATACAAAGGTGGAATAAAAATCTAAATCTTAAGATGTAAACCTATAGATATAAGAAAAAACCATGAGAAAATATCTTTATGACTTGGAGGAAGTGAAGAACTTTTAAAGCAAAGGCAGCAAAAAATAAGCAAAAAAAGTCATAGATTACAGAATGAAGAAGGATATTTGTGATATTTAAGACTGCCAAACTAATAATGCTAATAGGTAAACAAAGAGATGCTTAATTAGTAATCAGATAAATTAAAACAACAATAAATATCATTTACACCAATTAAATTGGCAAAAAAAATGGTTGTAAAGACACAGAAAAATCTTTAGATACTATGGTGCAACCTGGCCAGGTGCGGTGGCTCATGCCTGTAATCCCAGCACTTTGGGAGACCAAGGCGGCCGGATCATCTGAGGTCAGGAATTCGAGACCAGCCTGGCCAACATGGCGGAACCCCATCTCTACTAAAAATACAAAAATTTTCCAGGCATGGTGACACATGCCTATGGTCCCGCCTGGGTAACAGGGCAAGACTCCCATCTCAAAAAATATATATGTATGTGTATATATGTGTATACATGTATATATGCATATATATACACACATAGAAGTTAAAAATAAGTTCCTTTTTGTGAATACAATACAAAAATATTTAAACTATTTAATTGTTTAATAGATCGTATTATAAATACTGGCTCATACTATATATCAAAATAAAACTGGAACTAAGCTAACAGCAGATACAAAGGTGGAATAAAAATCTAAATCTAAGATGTAAACCTATAGATATAAGAAAAAACCATGAGAAAATATCTTTATGACTTGGAGGAAGTAAAGAACTTTAGGCACAAGAAGTATATATTATATAAATATTATATATATATATATACGGTATAACCTAAAAATAATGCACTAAAAATAAGTGACATAGGCCTTTTAGCTGCAGAGTAATTTATGATGGTAGAAGGTTAGAAGAAAACAGGTTTTCCATTAATGGACAGAATCATGCAGCAATGAGAAGTGATAGATTATATGCTCACACAACAACGTGAGCTGAAAAATAGAATGTTTAATCAAAAAAGTGGAAACTAGCATCAAGTAAATAAAAAATGCATGTAAGAACACACACAAATCCAGATGTACACATTATGTAAATTAGAATGGTTGTCTCAAGGTGGTAGGGGAAAGGGAATGGAGAATGGGGAAAAGGGTAGGGGGAGAGAAAGAAAAAGAACTGGATGATGCAAAAAGTCAGAAGGCAATCAGCAATGAAAAGAACCTGAACTTTGATGTTTAAGAAACTTGCAATCAAATCCTTACAGTCACTTACTACCAATGTGACTTTGAACAAGGGACTTTTCTGTATGACTCTTTCCCCACTGGCAAAATTGAGATAATAGTTGTCACCTCATGGATGATGATTAAATGAGTAAAAACGTAATATTTTATATACTCAGTAAGGACTTTTTTTTTTCTTTTTAAGCTTTTTTAGAACAGGCATTTATATTTGCCTGTGTTATAGGATTGCTATACTTATTGATGCTTAGAATGTAGTCTGAATTCAAGTTTCTTTTGCTGAATTCTAAAATAGCAAAACAACACTACAAAAGGAATATTCATGAGCTATGGACAAATTCAGGCTTTGTAAAAGCATTTTATAATTCCAAATAAAATGGAAATCCTTGTTTTGTATATCATTCTGAGATATGCAGCTAGAGTATTAACTTTAAGATTACTACCAATATAGTAAAATCAGTACCTTCAAATTTATGATTACAGAGAAACACTAAGATTGCTGAAAGACATCTTAAAATATTTCTTTTACCAATTGTAACCTGAAACCAATACTTTTTCTTATTACACTTTGCTGTGCACTAAACCTCAAAGAGAATTCTCCAAGCTCTTTGACAATTAAAATGTTAAAGAGTGAAGCAACAAAATGATCTTACTTTGTCCTGTTACTAGATTTGGAAAAAGCATCATTTTGAAAGGGAATTATCTTCTTAAAGTCATGTAAGAACCTCTGTTCATTTTTCAAATCATTGGTATACTCGCAGTCTTCTTAGGAAATATACATTTCTATTTACAGGCCAGAATTTCAGTGAGCCATTTATGCTCAGAGGAAAATATGCTGGGGAGAGGTAAATTTGCCTAAAATCATTGTTGATTGATCAAATGATTGATTCATTCAAGAATAATATATTAAGCACTACTATATAGCAAAAAAAAAATGCACTGGGTCTGAGCATATATGAATGAATGAATGAATGAATGAAGTAGACATAGTTCAGCCTTCACAGAGTACACAAAGTAATAGGAATGTCAAACAAAAATAAGTAAATGATTGCTAGCTATCTACCTATAAAATTACAAATTGTTGTAAGAATAAGCAGGAAAAACAGGATTCTAAGAAAAGGAATGACAAAAAGAATGGAGTATTCATAGAGATCTCCAACAGTATAATTTTAACTGACACCTGATGGATATAAAGAATGACCTTTGCAAACAGAGGCAGAAAGATTTACAAGGAGGAGGCATAAAATGTTCAAAAGTGCTGAGGCAGAAAATAATTTGGTCTTAAAAGCTACTGACATCAGTTCATGGGACCTGGAGCCTGGTATACTGTGAACAAACTCCAAGATATGCAATTAATTTAGAGGCATCTCCATGACAGCCTGTAGACCACTGCATAGGGATCTGATATTATGTTAATCTTCATTAGAAATCATTAGGAGTTTTTGAAAAGACATTGTCTGATATATGTGTTTAAGAGTTCTAGTTTTTTTAGGCCGGGTGCGCTGGCTCACACCTGTAATCCCAGTACTTTGGGAGGCCAAGGTGGGCGGACCACAAGGTCAGGAGATCGAGACCATCCTGGCTAACACGGTGAAACCCCGTCTCTACTAAAAATACAAAAAGCTAGCTGGGCGTTGTGGTGGGCGTCTGTAGTCCCAGCTACTCAGGAGGCTGAGGCAAGAGAATGGCATGAACCCGGGAGGCGGAGCTTGCAGTAGGCGGAGATCGCACCACTGCACTCCAGCCTGGGCAACAGAGCGAGACTCTGTCTCAAAAAAAAAAAAAAAAAAAAAAAGTTCTAGTTTTCATATGGAGAAGGAGATAGAGGGAGGCCAGGATGAAGATTTTTCAATCAGACCAGGGAAAATAAAATCATAGTTTGGGTTAAACAGATGACTGAGAAACTAAGTGAGAAGTGGACTGAGTAAAGATATATTTCCGAGGCCTTAAGGATGCAGGGAACAGCAGTAATGACTCAGAGTTCTGGCTTCCACACTGTGGCAGATTGTAGTGCAATGTACAAGGATGGCAAAGACTGAATGAGGGGATCTGAAATCACGGGGAGCAGGAAATTAAAAGAAGCACCCTGGCTTTCACACCCCTGGAGACTACAATTCAGGTAACTGAGAAGCAGGGTTTCCCTCAGCATTTTGGAGTGGAAGTCGCAGGCCTTGGTTGTGAACAAAACTGACCTCTACTGACCACTTACAGTGAGTTATGAGCTATGCCAGCTCCTTCCAGTTGTGCTTGCTATCTCATTTACTTCCTACTACAGTACTGGAAGGTGGCTGTGATTAGCTACATTTAAAAGATGAGGAAATTAAAGGTCATCTTTTGTATCTTGTTCAAAGTCCCTCAATAAATGACAGAGTTAGGATTCTAACGACTGACTGTAAAAGTACAGTGTCCAAACCTATCCTCTATTTAATGATTAGAAACAGTGGACACAAGACACCAGTGAGAGTGAGGGGTGTGTGTGTGTATGTATGTGTGTGTGTGTCTGTGTCTGTGTGTGTGTGCGTGTCTATGTGTGTGTGTGGCAGGGATGGGCCATGCTAAATAATGTTCATTGTAGATCCAGTTCTACTGTGATCTACAAAAATCAAGGAGGCAAGTCTCTATTAATATAGAGGCATAATGCGGACTCATTCATGCATGATAAA
Source organism: Homo sapiens (assembly GCF_000001405.40). NCBI lineage: Eukaryota > Metazoa > Chordata > Mammalia > Primates > Hominidae > Homo > Homo sapiens. The sequence goes on along the minus strand of NC_000010.11, from coordinate 82,235,842 downwards.
ACGTCTACCAAGTGACACACGCTGGACAACTTTCCAGGTCAGCAAAAGAGGCAGAATCCCAACTAGTATGCAGCTCAGAGCCTAGCAATCTGTCATTCTCAAAATACAATTTTCTTTACACAATGCCACACTAGTAGGCTAGATTAGCCATGCACACGTATGATTCACATACAAGGTCAAAATGCTGTGTGCTACGGGAGATAAAGCACCAGGTGAGATAGAGCTCTATGAGAGATAAAGTGCTAGGGTGGCAAAACAATATAGGCCTTAAGAGCAGTGGGAGATTACTTGAGATGGAAAGGTCACAAAAAGCTTTCTTTATCGATTAAGTAAATGCCTGGAACATAATAGAGTCTGAACTAAATGATATTGGAAGATGTAAACAAAATCCAATTTTCCCTGAAATTAATTAATAATGTATAAATAGAGATGTTAGAAAAATAGTTAAACTATTCTAATACTGTATCTAAGGCTCAGAATAAAGAAGTTCATACTCTAGTCCAGACATTGGCAAACTTTTCCTGTAAAGGGGCAGATAGTAAGTTATTTTTCAGCTTTGTGAACTCCACCATCAATATCCATCAACTCAGTACTAATATTTTTGCAGGAAGGCAGTCATGAATGATACGTACATGAAAGGGTGCAGCTGTGTTCCAAAAAATTTGTTGCTTACAAAAACAACTGGCAGGCTGGATCTGGACTTCAGGCCATTGCTGGCCAACCCCTGCCCTAGTCTCATTGCTCCCCAAATTTAATAGAATGATCTGTCACTCAAGTTGCTGGGAATGCAGGAAGACACTGAGCCTAATTAGGATATGTCACACACAAAAATTATTGGAGAGAGCAGTTGTAAGTTGAGACTAAAATGAAGCCCCTTCTCTTGAGTGTTTCTGCCAAAATAAGAAATACAAACACATCCCGATTACACAGTAACAAGGCAAGCACGGCTGAAGGAAGAAAGTTATCAGTGGAGACCCGCTGCATAGCATGGTCACAACCATGGCAGGTAAGGTGGAGTGTAGACAGCCTTGTCAGCCAGCCTTCTCAGCTCTCTCTCCAGCCTCTCCTGACTTGACTTGGTATAAAGATCTTAGTGAGCTGAAGCCACTAATAGAAGCCCAAATCCCAGTTAACTTTTACGATGCTGTCCCTGCTGTAGCTCTCTCTCATTTTTCTCTTTCATGTTTTGTTAATAATGATTGCTCTATTTTGAATAAAATATTGTAACAAATTGAACTTAAATCATTCATTCAACAATTATTTATTGGGTATGTCCTGCATGTGTCTACCCTTGATTGCCTATAATGTTATTACTCTGTGATTGAACTGGAGATCTGATGGTGAGAAAACCATTCATATTATCCCTACTCTCCTGGAACATAACGTCCAGATGACAAAACACAAAATAAGGTCACAAGTAAATGTAATCGCAACTGTGATCAGCTGCTTTGAAGGAAACAGACAAACTGCTGAAATGGAAAATACCATAGGAAGGGAATAATTTAGACAGAGTAGACAGAGACAGTGTTTCTATGGAGATCTTTATTTAATTACATTTCCTTTAAATCAAGACCAGGAACACGTTCCAGAAACTGATAAAAGACCATTGGTATTGGAGCGTAGTGAGTTGGGGGAGAAAGAAGAGTGAAAAAAATTATGTTGGAAAAACCAGAGAAGTGAACAGGTTATGCTAGGAAGGCATTTGGACCCTGGTAAGGTTTGCATGTTTCATCCTGAATACAGCTAGAAATCAATGAGAATGGTTTTGAGCCGGGGAGTGATTGTCGTTTGTTTTACCAATATTAATCAAAAATGGTTTGTAGAGCAGCTAGGAGTATAAATGTGGAGAATATGATGGGGGGATACTGTGACAGAAAAGGGGTAAGATGAAAGCGGCTTGCTTGGTGCAGGGTGATAGTGGCAGTGGCAGCAGAAGTGTAGGGAAGTTGCTGAATTTGAGATTTCTGTTGAAGGAAGAACTAAGTTTTGTGGATGAGTAGATGGTTAAAAGGTTCTTAAATGTGGGTGTAAGTAGGTGCTTGTGGGATAGGAAGGGAAGAGTAATGGAATTAAAGAAGCCAATGGTTTCTGGTTTGACCTCCTGGTTGGCTGATGGTGCCATTTATCTTGAAAGGGAAGACTGAGGGAGAAGCAAGAGTGGGGAGGAGAACCAAGAGGTATGTTTTGGACATATCTGAAAATTCATGGGGCAAAGAGGCAGTTAGATACACAAGAGTGAATCTCAGGCAAGTCATTAGAAGATAGATGGCATTTTAGGCTACTGGATTGAAAGTCATGATAGAAAGAAAGTGAGGGAAAAGAAGGCCCAGAACAAGGCTGTATTGTAGATAAATGTATATTTAAATTTTCTGTACCTTGTGATGTTTTGATATCTTAGAAAATCTTTCTAACTGGGGAAGAGATCACCTTTGCTTGAGGCTAGCCAATTCTTTTTTTGTTTTGTTTTGTTTTGTTTTTGAGATGGAGTCTCGCTCTGTCGCCCAGGCTGGAGTGCAGTGGCGCCATCTTGGGTCACTGCAAGCTCCGCCTCCCGGGTACACACCATTCTCCTGCTTCAGCCTCCCCATTAGCTGGGACTACAGGTGCCTACCACCATGCCCGGCTAATTTTTTTGTATTTTTAGTAGAGACGGAGTTTCACCGTGTTAGCCAGGATGGTCTTGATCTCCTGACCTCGTGATCCGCCTGCCTCGGCCTCCCGAAGTGCTGGGATTACAGGCGTGAGCCACTGCGAACAGCCGCCAATACTTAAGATAGGAAAGGGACCAGCCTGAAGCACGCAAACTAACCAACCCAGAGCCACATTTCCTCTACCTTGCCCACATACCCTGGAAACAATATTCTTCTGTCTTAAGCAACCCAGGGCCAGGTACCAGGCAACTAGAGAACACTCCTGTTTCCCAAATTCTGGAGAAATTATTCAAAGTAGTCCTAAACTGTTCATCCTATCCTGCCTTACCCTTCTCTCAGAAACCCCAACAAAGGCCATGCCTTACAACTTACCTTGCTCCTGTTTCTGCCTCCTGACCACTCTGGTCTTCCCCATGTTGCCATGTATGGCATGCCTCCTGTCTCTAGGACCTGTGAGTAGAAAATACTTTATTTTCTCGAGTCTCTCCTGTGTCTCCTCTTGTAGCCCCATCTGGCCGATTGTCTCATAAATGTATACAAAACAAAATTTCTGACAAATCATAATATTTATAGATGCAGCAAAAGAGAAAAACAATGAAAGTCTGTATTAGTAACCAGAAAAACGGTCAGAAGTCTGAGGTACCTGAGAGAAGACAGCAAAATGAGATCTGGAATTTGAGGAGCACCTGTTAGGAGAAGAGCCATCTCTACTGTAAGCACAAGCAACACAGAGGGAGTGGGGATGTCAGGAGGGTATCCCAAGGACAACATACAGGATTTTGTCATATTCTTCCTCCAAAGATCACAGAAAACTTGTGATCCATATCCACTATTTTTTGTTCCAAGTCTCTGATAAGCAAGTCATCCAATCCATGTTAAAACAGGCTGGATTCTTGCATCATAAGACGTTAATTTATATTTTTACAAGATCCTTTTAGCTGCTTCCACCAAAGTCCCTTTCCCCCTGCATACACTGGAGCTTATCTTGCATATTCTATTTATTATGATATATAAGGTGTGTTTTCCCTGCTGGACTTGGGGGTTTTGAGAGAAGGGACTCTATTTTTCCTTTCTATATCCTCCCAGCCAACTGAACATCTGATTCTTTGCAAAACTGAGAGACCTACCATAGTAATTTGCAAATGGGCCTTCAAATTTATAATACTTGCTCTTAGTCCTATGCTTAGAGTTTCAGTTCATGTAGGAGTCAGTGAAGACTAAGTGTGAGTAGCCAAAAACTTGAAAGATAAAGTTGAAAGCAGTTTCTTAAAGATATTTTTTAAATGTTCTTAATTCAGAAACTATTAATCCAATTTAAGAGAAAACTGTTTAACTAAAAATTTTAGAGAATTTATGAAGACATATCTTTAATGGAGAAAAACACAATGATATGTAACATTTTGAAATCAATCATGTTTTAGTGGTCTTCTATTTGCTTACTAATTTTTACTGACAGTTTTCACACACTGAATTATGTCTCCTGCAACTAATATGTTTTCTTCTCTTTTGCCCTGAAATTTCTGTAGATTTTCCATTATGGAATGTGAGTCTATGTTATGTGATGCACAGATATCCATTCCTATTGATTTCTTGTGGAAATAACTTTCTTATTAAAATTTGATAAATAATGCGTTTATTAATATGGTAGATATTTTCAGAATTAGTTATATTGTGTTTCAGTATGCCTCATGATAATACTAGGTTTTTTTTTTCAATATTTCACTTTGTTCTTTTTGTGCCTGTTTGTGTTACTATTAATAATCTGAAGGTCTCATGTTTTTCTATTACCTTTTTTGTTACCTTTTAAATACAATGTGATATTTTTTTATTTCTTATTTTTTTGAGACGGAGTCTCGCTCTTGTCACCCAGCCTGGAGTGCAATGGCACAATCATGGCTCACTGCAACCTCACTTGAACCTTCCTAGGTTCAAGTGATTCTCCTGCCTCAGCCTCCCGAACAGATGGGATTACGGGCACCTGCCACCATGCCTGGCTAATTTTTGTATTTTTAGTAGAGACGGGGTTTCACCATATTGGCCAGGCTGGTCTCGAACTCCTGACCTTAGGTGATCCACCCTCCTCGGCCTCCCAAAGTCCTGGGATTACAGGCATGAGCCACTGTGCCTGGCCAATATAATATTTATAATCCTACATTTCTTTATTATCTACTGACCATTCACTGTAATACTGACAAAATTTATACCTCCACTTAGTCTCCAATCACTTCTCTTACTGCATTATCTAATTTTAATTGTTTACACACTTTTACTACATTTTTATGCCTTTGCATGTTTATGCTATGTTATTTAATAAATCACCATTGAGTGGCATTTTTTTGCCTTCAGCTATAAAAGATGAAGAATTCACCATATGCATACCACCTCTCACCTTCTCTTCCACTTTTCATCCTAAATTGTATCAGATAAATTATTTCAATGTTATTATTCTTTGTAACATTTTCATTCTGTTCTGTAAACATAATTCTCAGAAATATTTTTACTTATCAATGCAGATAGAAATATTTAATATTTTCAACATATTTAATGTTTATCAACAGTTCTTTTGCTGTAATTCCTCTATTCATTTTCATTGTCAGAATATTTTTAAAGGAATCTGGCAACTAGATTCTGAGCAGTATTTCATGTTGAAAACTGTTTGTCAGTTGCCTTACTTTAAAAGATACATTCACTGAGTCTAGGAACATGGGTTACACTGCCTTTTCCTGAAAACACTGGAAAGGCATTGACCTGTTCTTTTCCTAATGTGGAATGTTACTGAGAGGAATTCTGAAGTCACCCTTTGTTTAGGATTTGATCTCCTTTCAGACTCCCCAAAAGATTCCCTGTTCTAGTTGGCCTTCTATATTGGTGGTTTCTGAATACATACCCCAAAGAACCTGAGCATCAGTGAATTCTGGTATCTTCTGGGAGCCCTGGAACTAATCTCTTGAAGATACCAACGGATGACTGTGTTTTAAAAGGTAAGTGGATTAGGATATTGACGGTGATCATTTTGCATAATTTTTTTCATAATGTTGGGCTTCCAAACAAAAGATTAAAAGTCAAAAATGTTTATTCTCAAAACTTCTTCACATCTGGAAAAAGTAACTTTAAACATTTTTTTTCTCCATATATTCGTTTCTCCTTTTCAGGCACACCACTTATGCATATGCTGAACTTTTCTTTTTTCTGTTTGGATTTTCTAACAGATTATTTTCATCTATCCTGACAATTGTTTTAACTCACTGTTAATTTATTTTGTTTCATTTTTTCACTGTTCACATGCTTTTTGATATTTTCCGTTTCTATTCTCCTTTAGGTTATTTCCAATGTAACTTTGGATGTAACATTCTTTTCTACTATTCTTTCCTATACTTAATATGGTTTGCCTGTGTCCTCAACTAAAATCTCAACTTGAATTGTAATCCTCATGGGAGGTGGTTAGATCATGGGGGCAGTTTCCCCCATGTTGTGCTTGTGCTACTGAGTGAGTTCTCACAAGATCTGATGGTTTTATAAGGGGCTTTTCCCTGCTTCGCTCTGCACTTCTCTCTCCTGCTGCCATGTGAAGAAGGACATGGTTGTTTCCTCTTCTGCCATGATTGTAAGTTTCCTGAGGCCTCCCAAGCAATGCAGAACTGTGAGTCAATTAAACCTCTTTCCTTTATAAATTACCCAGTCTTGGGTAGTTCTTTATAGCAGCATGAGAACAAACTAATATACTAATTTTCTTGTTTTATCTGCTTAACAGTCATTTCCTTCTATTTCCTTGCTATATTTCTTCCTGAATTTCTGTTTCCCAAATGTCTGCTTTGAGACATTATTTCAAAGAAGTTATTGTTTTGTTAATGTCTATTGCTTAATTTAGTAATACATTTGGGAATTAATTTCATTTTCTCCATGACAAAATTTTTCTGGTGAATATTTTTCAACTGCTTTCTATTCTGCTTTCTATTCTAATTATTTTAATACCTTGGTATTTATGCTGCAATGGTCCCTTTTACACATGGTGAGTCTTCATAGACTATATGCTGGTAATTTACCTTTGAATATAGTGAGTACTTGGAACTATGGGAGGAGGGTCAGAGTGGGATATAGCACAACAGTAATTGTCAGAGGCTGACCATGAAATGCATTAAAGTGTATTCCTATATCTAGTTTAGCCTTTAATTCTCCCCAGGCGAGAGAGAGATGTCACTCAGGACTGCTTCCGAAGGAGTTTCCCTTGAAGCTTGCTTCACTGTCTGACTCCTTTCATACAAGTGGTAAGTCTCAATGTCTCCTGACTCAGCCTCCGACCCTCCAGTTGCTTCATCACGTTCAGTGGCTTCCAGGCATGCACTTGCCACAGAGTGCATTGTTGCAAATAAGAGATTGTTTTCTCAGAAGGGCATACCATCTACTTCTGAAATGGCATACTGGGCTCTGGAGCCTTTCTTCCAGTATTTGGCCAAAGATTCTTTTCAATAAAGGTTGAATTTCCTTCTAGTTATTTTAAATTAATTTTCATGAGGAAAGGGGGCTGTATCATCATTACCATTTTAAGTCCAAAAGTCTTTTATAGTTCAAATATATTTCATATCTACAAATTAATTTGTCCTTACACCATATCCAGTTACATTCAATGTGGTAACTAATACTATCCCCAATAAAAAAAAAATGAAAAAAGTCCTGGGAAGTTATGTTGTTTATCCATGGCCACACAGCAAATCAATATCATATTTGAATGAAGCATTACATGCTTTCTCTTCTAGGTTAAGTTTTATTCCCACTAAAAACATGACCACAATGTGATTTAGTTATTTTTCTCTTAGAAATTTATCATAATGCTGTATCCCTAATGAGGGGTACAATATGTCAGAAATTAATCTGTGACTCACATTTACAAAAAGCCCCAAATTTGAACTTGAATTCAACTCTACAACACCCACATAAATTTATGTTTATATATACTCATACTATCTTGTGAATCACTCACTCCTATTGTATTGTATTTTGTGTCATAGCATTTAATTTTTAAATCTTTTTAAAAATTGCATTCATAAATTAGAAGTGTCCCAGGTCTCTCTATGGGGTCTGGGTTTTGACCTTTTCCTACAGTTATGTGAGGAAGGCCCTGTTGATATTCTCATCTGAATATACAAGTAGGGGCCTCTGAAACATCAGGGACCATCAATAGGTACACTATCATGCAGGTGATCTCTGCTCTAAAAAGTGAAATGATGAGTGGAACTTTGGAGTTGAGGGTCAGACTTGAGGAAACTTAAATTAAGTGGTAAGTCCCTTGAACTGAAATGGAAAATGAAGGCTGCCCCTAACACCAGAGCCTTGGGGGAAGAATTCATAAAGGAAAGTAATGAGATGTTCTAGAAAGACAAGAAGTGACAGAGAAGTGGAAAGGGTAAAAGGCTTACCAGTCTATCTTGGAGTAATATTTCCTACAATGTCATCTGCCAACACCATGTTTTTTATATTCAAGAAAAGCATTTTATTTAAAAATCATTTATTGAAACTTCTCCACTTTCACTATTCTCTTTCATTATAAAAATCATTCCCAGAGTTTGTCAACACCATTTATTGTTTCTAATCAAAACAATGACAAAGCAATATTCAGATGGAATCATCAGTGTACCACCTCAAATACATTTCATGTCTCTTCTTTGTCATGAGATGAAATTAGATATAAGGTCAAAAGATAAGCAAGTTAAAAAAGAAAAACCCTTTAAGTTTTTTCCCTTAATCAAACCCAGCATCAAGTTCAAAATCAATAAATGATACAATAAAATAATAATAATAATAATAATGAGCCAGTTGTCAAATGCAAGGGTGTGTCAGTTTTCAGGAGCTTAGTAAGTATTCCTGCAATGAGACTCTATAAAGACAGAGAAAGCCCAACAGCCACAGTAGAATGAATGGTTCCAAATTTAAAGTCATTAATGCAAGATCCAGTATGTGGAAAGAGGAAAAAGCAGCAGTGATGATGAACTGAAGCGCTCCTGCACTTACCAAGATACAAACAGCCCAAGTACAAGCTGCAGTGGGTGGAAATGAGGAAGAAGAATAAGGAAAGATGACCTTCTCATGTCTGGACCATGAGAGACCTGACAAAGGAGACAGACATGAACATGTCATACATACCGCCAACATGTGACTCTTAGTGGATTCACAAGAAGGCAAGCAATATGTTATAGCACATATACAGAAAAGACAAGACAAATTTCCTATCTTGAAAAGAGACTTGGCTCCACATTTGTCAATTGAGAGTTTCTGGGAAATGTGTTTCAAAGTTCTCCCAATAATAACAACAGTGATGACTGACAATTATTGAGCACTGAATAGGTGTGAAAACCATCCTGGAAGTATAGAGACTATGAGTCCAATAGATGGGGAATTTGAATCTGGACAACTAACTGTGAGACTTTGGCCAAATTACATGAGCAATTTGAATCTCAGTTTCCTAGTTATAAATGGAGATAAATAACAACTATTTCATAGAGTGGTTAGCATTAAATACAAAGATGGATTCAAACATATAGCATGCACAATGCCTGAAGTGTGTTAAGAACCCAGTCAATATTTGCTATCATATGACCTGCTAATAATTATCCTCACAATTCTAGGATATAAGGGCTAGCATTATTTTTAATATAATAAACAAAAACTTAGGGTTCATAGAGGTTTAGTACCTCATCAGTGTTCAAATAGCTAATAGGTACAGAAGGAGGATTCAAATCAAAATCTCACAAGGACTCCAAAAGCAGCATTGGAGGGTGTGCCTCCAGAAAATGCCTTTCTGCACTTCTAAAATGTTGGCTTAGCTATACCTGCTTTTCTGAGATGTGTTTCAGAAATGTAAGGAGTCCTACACATGATCAAATGTCCCCAGCTTCTAGAAGTGGTAAGAAAGCTGAGAATTCCTTGATGTACAAATGAATAAGTCATCCCTGGTGAGGAAAACTGGTCTCAAAGAGGAGCCACAGACAAATCTCATTTAGTATCCCAGGAGTAATTGCTTCTCCTTTAGGGAAAACTGGATGCTGAAGTGTGTTTATTTCCTTAACATGTTGTTTGGAAGTTTGCCTTTTTTCAATTTTTTGAGTAATATATGGATAGATTCTTGGGGTAAAATGTAAGAAAATTAGAAATAGTATTGTTTTTGGAGATACTAAAATGGCCCTATTTTAAGTGGAACAAACAACAATAAAAAAGTAATACAAGTCTCGACAAGAAAATTAATAACGTAGAAGAAACGGGTATGGAGAGAGCTTACTAAATGACATTATGACAGAAATATGCCACGTGATCTTAATATACTTCAACAAAACACTAAAGTAGAATTAAAACACAAATAACACTAAATAAACTATATACAAACTTTCTCTCAAATATTCCACTGTAAATATTCCTTGGTGATTTTATTTTAACAAGTGAAAATGCAGGAAGGGGATTCCAAACCTGAGGAATATCCTAAGACCTTACTCAATGCCTTGCACATAGTTAATTACATCTGTGTGGGACATGAGTTATCTCTTTCTCATAATCACACTGATAATTACTCTGAGTTTAATTATTTGTACTAGATGTTTGTGTGTGAGGATGTTCGCTTGTGTATATGTTCATCTAGTGCTTTTGTGTTACTCATGTTTTCTTGTTCATACTGTTGTAGGGTAACATGCCCTTCATTCAGAACCAAACCTGTGCCCTGGCTTGGTATATTTCCTCCACCTGCTGAGCATCCTCTCACCCTCTACTTTTACCTGGAAGAAAGAAGACAATAATATCTACCAATCAAGGTGCTATGTGCATGAGAAATAATTTATACTTAGAGTCTATCCTATTATATGTCAGTGTCTAATTAATGTAGCTTCTAGTGGTAATAACAGAAAAAGTAGCATATGTTTTTTAAAGAAACGATATTCTTTCCTTGCAAATGATATTCAACTGATTTTAGGTGTTAATACCGTAGTTAGAACTTGTAATTTTTTAACATGCATCTCTTTTGTCTTCTATTTCCCCACATTAGCATTTAATGTATCATTTTTACTTATCTTTTGTGGTCTTAATCATAATCCTACATAATTGCATTTTTTTCTTCCTAGTAAACACATTTGAAACAACAATTTTCCTGCAAGTTCATTTTTAAAAGTATACTGAATATTGTGAGGTCTGGTGATTTTATTTTTAATATTCTTTTCCTTAATATTTAATAATTTTACTATTAAAATAATAAATAATTGTAGCAGCAATGGTAAAGTGAGCTATGTTCATATTATTCTTGTTTGTTTTAGAAAGTCTCATATTTCTACATTAAAGGTAATGCTTGTTGAAACATTTAATTTTTCCCCTGTGAAAAAAGAAACCCTCTTTCCTATGATTTTTACTGTGCTTATGATGAATAGCTATTGAATTTTTATCAGATACTTTTTTGGCAATTGAGATAATTATATAGATTTGAACAATGTTTTATTTTGATGTGTTCTGTTAAGTTAGTAATTTTCCTGGTGTGGTATCACTTCAGCCTTCTAGGGTTAAGTCATGTAGATTTCAATGCATAAGGCTTTTCATGTCTTGCATCATATTTGCTAATATTATGGATGTTTCCATTTGTTTGCTTATTCAACCAAATAATTAGTAAGCAAGGACTTACTTAAAAGAATTGTGCTGGGTTTGTCAGAAGTTCAAAGATGAATACAAGAGTCACTATCGTCAGGTCACTTAGTTTATTTGAGGGGCAGACATGAACACAGCTATACTACTAGTCATTCTGCTTTCTGCATTCTAAAAGTGCTTTTTTATTCATAAAATGATATGTATTTACTTTTTATGTTCTAGATGCTGTACCTGAAGCAGAAGATAACCTGGCAAAGAAAAGAGTATAGTGCTGCCTTCAGGGAACTCCTAGTCTAGGGGAAGACAGCCAATAATCACATAACTGCTCTAATCAAATATTTCACCAAAATAAAGTATTAGCCACCTCCTAGAATCCAGGCTCTGTTGTAAGTGCTGAGGATACGGCAATGAACATAAATGCCTAAACTCTGCAGTGTTGGTGCTCACATTCTTGTAAATAAATACACAATTGTCCCTGCATGGAGGCCAGGCACTCTAGAATATTAGGGGACCTTGTTCTCACATGGTGGCATCCCTGGATAGATGACACAACTGGCTTTTCTGATGCTGTTTCATACTTTGGCCCAGAATCCGGCAACATTTTCTGTCATGATAAGACAGAGGTTATGTAGAAAAGGAAACAGACTCACTTTGTATCTCTTACAGGTTGTGATCTGGCCAAAAAATAATAGCTGTGCCTATAGCCCTAAGGTGCTGCTTTCTGGAAGCGCCAGAATTCTGGTTCCTTTTCCTTGGTATTCCTGCCCTCCTGCTAGTTGACTACATTTATAAGAGAAAAGAATACCAAGAAATTAGGCAGAACACGTGGAGTGTGTGTCTGTGAAGTGTGTGCCTGTATATGTTAGTGGGGCATCCAGAAGAACGTGGGTGGTGTGTATGTGTGTGTGTGTGTGTGTGTGTGTGTGTGTGTGTGTGTGTTTGGGGTGGTTGCTGGAATATTACTACACTGCATTCTGAGTGCACAAAGGCAGCAAAAACCCTAGTAGTATATTTAGGAGGAAATCAATTTTTTCCATTGTTCAAAATGTCCAGTTCTGATTCTCTCCAACTGAGTTGATAGGCCAGGGGGAAAAGCGGCCAAGGTGAAGCAGAAGTGAGTTAGTAAATACCCACCAGGAATAGCAATTGGCCTGCAGTTGTAGAAAAGCTTCTTCCAAATACAGATCTAGGGTGCAGACTATTACCTATATGAACAGACAGCCTGTCTTGTGATATGTTTTTTTGAGAAATTAAGTACTCTGATACATTCAAAGTAACACACACACCCTGAGATTATCTCAGCTTTATCCATGTTCTAGACCCTTGGTTGGCTCTCCGGCATTCCAGCTGCAGCTGCTGGGGCTGGCTGCAGGCACGTCTGACTGTTCTCCCCTTTGGAGTAGACAGGGTTGTTCTGGCTGTCCCATGCATTGCCTTTCAATAAAGAATCTACACTGAAAGAATTGTTTCGGGTTCTGTTTCCTAGTGAATTGCTAACTGAAGAAATCCTGAGAGGAAATACTTAAGTTTCTCAAAAAGAAGATTTTCTGCTAATCTACTGCAGGATCCAGAAGAAAATTTCAATTTTGTTACAATTCAAAAGCAACATGACTTCCATACAAATGCAAAAATAACATGTTTCTATACAAGCTAGCCAAAAGCAAAATGAAGAGAACAGGACAGGAAAATAAAGCCACATATTAGGATGTAAAAAGTATATGTGACATACAGAAAATTACCACGGAAAATCATACTAGAAATCCACATTGGGGCACTGAAGAGCCAGATTGATGCCAACAATTTGGAAGACCAACTTAAGTCTACCTAGAATTCAGAAGAAAAGAACAAAGAAACAAAAATAGGGAAAACACGGTGGATACAGAGAACAGAAAATAAAGAGCTTGCAGGGATGACTTGTTATTCTTAAAAGGAGAACCCAAACAATTCAAGAGATGTTATAAGAGAAAATGTTCTTGATCTGAAGGTAGTAATTGGTTTTAGAAATGCCCTACAGGAGGCAAACACACCCAGGGACTTGGCCTAATTTGGCCTCTGGCAATGTCTCAAGAGCAGAAACCCAGGGGTCTAATCAACTGGGTCTAGAAACATAACCTTGGTACATCCTTTGTGTCCTTCAGACAGGCAGAACTGTCTGTCCCATATGGAATACTTGTCTAAATCGCTCATCCAACTTATGCTCCTTGTTTCCAACATACCTTACACTTCTCCTGAGTTCTCATCACAATCGGCGTTAACTCCTGATTTATTTAAGAAATTGTTCTATTCTATTACTCACACTAGATTATAAGCTCCATGAATGAAGAGCCTGTTTACCACTCCATCACCAGATAATATTGAAGTTTAGGGCAAAAACTTAAAACAAAAGAAATTTGTTTTATATTGATAAAGGTAAAATACCATAAGGTATTACTTGACATAAAATGTAATGGGCTGAATAACATGACATGATTTATGTGACACAAATGTAAGGCCCTTCCACTATAGGCCAAACATCTATAACAAAGGGACACAGAAAAAGGTAACACTTACAAGAAGAAAGGGTGAGCAATGTCATGTCAGGCAACTGCAAGCAGAAGAAAGCAGGGTGTAGTAGGCCACCTGGAGGATTTGGGAGTAGGTTACCACTGGATGGGAGTGGTTAGTTTGGAAGTGTCCGTCCCGAGGGAGAATGTATTTGTGTTTCTCTTCCTATCTAACTAGAAGCAAGGAAACTTCAGGATGGCTTCAGTGACAACTCTTGGCAACTCAATAAAAGAGCTGGCTCTTTTCCTGGACATAAGGACCATGACAGTCCTGAGTCTCAGGCAGAAGAGATCATTCATCAGAGCCTGTGGTTTGGTTAAAGATTCTATAGCACCTACATGAAATCACTTGTTTTATTTTCTCTTTTTCTTCTGTCCCTGTTATTTCCTTTTGTTTTTAATACAGACTGCTTAACTTTTTCTCTTTGTAACCCTGTTGTGCATTAGGTTTGATTTTTTTCTGCTTTGATGAGCATTATGTGGAATCATCTCTCAATTTCTACCTGCCTGCATCTAATACTAAGGAAACGAGTCCTGGCAGGTTTTGTAGAGTCATAAACTGCATGGTCAGAGGAATTGATTGAAGCCAGTTGGGCACTAGGATCAAAAAGCTGCATTATGGAGGGGGGCTGGAAGGCTGTTCATTAATGATGCTATCTGAAAAATGTTGAAACATAAAGAAGACAGCAAAGTCTGAGAGAATATATAAGACACAAATTTGGAATGACTGCTTTTGACTTTTACATTTTGTGGCCTGTTTTTTTTTTTTCCTCTTTCTCTGTCTTGCCAATTTTTTTTTTTGGCAGTGAGTGAAACTCAAATTAAAATATATGTCTAGAAAAAAATCCTCAGTTCCAAATCAAGCCTACTCCACAATCAAAAACTCTAATTATTTTATAGATATTAAAGGTGTTGCAGGAAGCACAAGTCTGAGACCAGAATACCTACTTAGGACTTCCTTCCTAGCCTACTTATTTTTAAACCACCATTTCTGAAAAAGCATTGATTAAATATATTCCTAATGATCCTGAACAACTGTTGTTTTATTTTTTGAGACAATAGTGTCTTCTTCTGTCACCCAGGCTGGCATGTGATGGTATGATCATAGCTCACTGCAGCATCCAACTCCTGGGCTCAAGCAATCCTCTGAAGCAGCTGGAACTGCAAGCACAAGTCATCATTCCTGACTAATTTTTAAATATTTTTTTGTAGAGATAGGATTTCACTATGTTGTCCAGGCTTGTGTTGTAAGCCTCTTGCCTCTGTCTCCCTAGTAGCTAGGACTACAGGCTATGATGCTCAGCTATAACTGTAATTTTAAAACTAGTATCAAAACTCAAAATGAAATTTGGTAATCAAAAATAGTTATATGGCATGTACAAAGCATGTGGTATTGAGAAACAGGTGTGATATTTTGGAGTTTTTTGCAAGGTATGGAAGCATATTTCTAATAAAAGCCCTCCAGATTCTCCTCAATGTCCACCCTCAGCTAAATGCCTGCCCCCAAACCTCAAGAAAAATCTCCCAGATCTTCTTCCTGTAGGATCCCCCTAACACAATACACTTGATTTCAATTTCATCCCATACATAACAAAGTGAAGGTTTCCTGAAGCTGTTTTTCACTCTAGGCTCACAGACACAAGAAATCCACTCCTTTCACTCCTGTCCCCAGCTGGAATCCATGTGCTTGGATTTGAGTTGGCCTTCCTAAGACCTTTTAGTTGCTATATCCCTGAAAATATGGTCTGTATTGTTAGGTGCCTTAATTATATATTTGTCTATTTGTTCTGAGCAAGGAAAGAGTATTCAAAGGCCCTCAGCAGATAAACACACACACACACACACACACACAGTAAAGATACATGCCCACATGATTGAAGAATCATAATATCTTCCCACTCTTGGTTTTTCTCCTATCTTGACAGCAAAATGATTATCTCACTTTAATTTGCATTATTTGTTGTTTTGTTGTCTATTTTTCTCTACTCACGTCTTCTGGTTGACTTTGGTATTTGTGATTTTCTTGCAGTGATCTGTATCAGTATATGTGTGTGTGTATACATATATATCTTTACTTATTATTTACTCTCGTAAAGTTGTGTGTATGTATATCTTATTGTGTTTCTAAGTTTTTCTCCCTGTATCGTGATACTGTATTATTCCCTTTTTCAATGGATTTGCAGCATTGAGGTGAAATTTGCCAGGAAATACATTTTTATTCACGTAGAACTATTAAAAGGAAAGTCATTTTAATGCATTGGACTATTGTGTACCTACGAATAATAAGACTATTGAGAATCTAGAACTAATTTGCCAGGATACACTATTTGGCGAGATAAGGCATCTAGAAAAATGAAAGAAATAGAATTAACAAATATTAATTCCAATTAACTAATATTAAGACAAGTGAGGTTCTAGAACTAATTTGCTATGATACACTATTTGGCCAGATAAAGCATCTAGAGAAACTGAAGAAATAGAATTAACAAATATATATTGAGGGCCCAAAAAATAATCATGCAAGAAGAAACACAAAATCAGGTCACAAAGTACTAAAGGTTAATGGACATTTATGTAGATGTAGCTTGCAAGTGGATCTTAAAATAGATTCATCTTTCCCAAGAGTAGTTTGATAATTTTTACAGTCTGGACCAGCGAATCTCGAGTTTGGATGACTACGCCCCCCAGAAGACATCTGACAATGTCTGAAGATATTTTTTATTGCCAAAAAATTTTTTTGAGGGGTCACATAGCTACCAGCATCTAGTATGTAGAGGCTAGAGAAGCTGCAATGCCAGGGCGGCCCACACCCAAACAAAACAATATTTAACCTAAAAATTTAATAATGTTAAGGTTGAGAAACCCTTTTTAGATTGACATATATATACTAAGAACAAATGTGTTACTGATGGCTAAAGATGAAATATTATTTGATATAGCACACTTAATATATGCACAGGACAATGTTTCTGTTTTTCTCACAATCCCAAACGTTTCTTTGATCATTTTAAGAAGCACTTAGTGAAAGAATTCTAATAATGGACAAACTCAGATATTCAGATTTAATAGGTTTTTTAAGTATCCCATAGATTGGTCTCCTTTCTTAGCCATTCTCTGCAATGCAAGCCCAACTCCTTGACTTCCCTAGATGCAATCAGCTCATCTATCCTTCGTCTAACTCTCCATTTCTAGCCCTTACTTTGAATCCAAATGTCCATAAGGTGAAATCTCAGGAAACACTTTTATTAAGGTCAGATTAATAGCAACAAATAGACAAGATCATGGGAGGTGGTAATTAAGCTAGGAGATGGCTTTCTAGCTTTGGGAAGAGAGGAAAAGCAGAGACAGAAGAAGAAAGATATGTGGGGAGATCATGAAAATCCCACCCTGAGCAGAGGGCTCAGGCAGAGAAAGGGGGTGAGAAAAACCCACAGGCTGGAAGTTCTGGGCTGTACAGTGTCTTGAATGAGAGTAGCAAAGGAGAGTTCTGAGTTCAAAGATGCATACCTCTGTAAGAAGGGGATATGTTATAGACGCTGTATTTTCCACAGTCTCAGGGCAACACAGAGTGTGTCCTCCATGGCTGAACAGAACTGAATCCCAACAGTCCCTGCCAATGTAGTATATAAGATTACAGAGTCTTGTATATTGGCTAACAAACACATTTTAACCTTTAGTTCCCTGTGAGAACCTTGGACTGAATCTTTGCGGTGAATTTTAATGCAGCTGGTGAAAAGAATAAATTAGGAAAATATTAGTATCAGGAAGACTAATCACGTAATATTATGCTGTTAATTTGTATGGGACATAACCTAAATTCTTATATAAAATAGCCTTATTTCGTTATTATTAATGACTTCATCATATTTACCTTCCTATTTGCATGGAATAGAATAGGTGATATCTCACATGTAGATTAAACACAGGATCGACTCATTCATACCTATTGGTTTTAGTTCATCAATATTTCAAAAAATGTATTTTCTTTGGGTATTTGAGATTATACAGTACTAGAATGTTGAAATAAATTATCTAGGAAATATCCAGACTAAAAAGAAAATGAGAAAATTTGGAAATGAAAGTAGGGGCTAGAAAAAAATATTCATAGTGAAATAAAAATTAATTTCATTAAGAAAGTAAAATAAGATAGGCCTTTTGAGTAATACAAAACTAATACAAATATTATGGAATGAAATTTTAATAACACTTCATTCTTCAAAGGATGTATTACTGCCATGCATTTGCAACATTCGATTCTGCAATCATTGATAGAGGAGGAAGTGTAATTTTAGAGGCTGGTTTTCAAATGTGCTCAGACATGGGAGCACACAGGCCATACTGCTTTTGAAGAACGCTCAGTGTCCTTAGAGCACTCTATCTGTTAGGCAACTATTGCAGAAATAACTTTACATGATTTTCTTGAATTATCACAATAATTCTACGAGAAAAATGTTGTATTTTACATTTTACAGCTGGGAAAAGCTAGGCACTGATTCAGGAGTGTTGCCCAAGACAGAAGCTAGGGCAGTGCTTCTCAAGCATTAGGTGGAATCAGAATAACCTCAAGAGCACATTAAAACACAGATTCTGGGCCTCACCCTCAGAGTATCTAATTTAGAAAGTCTGGGAGGGAGCCTCAGAATCTAGCAAGTTCCCACGTGGTCCTAATGTTGTAGGTCAGGAGAACAAATATTGGAACATCTGAGCTAAGAAGTGTGTTAAGAGCGATGGCACCCAGGTAGCTGGAATGCAGACTCCACACTAACTACCAGCTTACAGCTTGCCAGAGG
Source organism: Homo sapiens (assembly GCF_000001405.40). Classification (NCBI taxonomy): domain Eukaryota; kingdom Metazoa; phylum Chordata; class Mammalia; order Primates; family Hominidae; genus Homo; species Homo sapiens. The sequence goes on along the minus strand of NC_000010.11, from coordinate 82,217,248 downwards.
CACAGCCACATTACACACATGACAAATATGGCCAGCCCCACAGGCACCCTCAACAAAACCTTGTCACATGGAGTAAAAGCTGCTGTTTCTTAGTTTTATATTTGTTCCATTCTAGACCTTCCTAGGAAATGAACAGTTTCAGGAAAGAAAATTTAATAAATAACTTTTAATTGAAAAAAAGTCATGCTAATTAACTTCTTTCTTTGAATTGTGAAACAATTATCTAAATTCCAAGTGAGCAACAGGATTTGTTTTGTCTAGATTTGCTCAGTATGAGTGAACTGCAGAAACAAAATGAGAACTTCTTAAGCCAAATGGCATACTGAATAAGATCAGACAACCTGATATTTGAGATCTGATCTTCACATTAATTTGCTAATTTAAAAAAAGCATTAACTCGCTATACTTGCTATCACTACACTAAAAAGTAATGTGATTCCAAAAACACAATAATACTGGTAAAAACATTTAGAAATACACAGTTTAGAAAGATTCACCAGAGATGATTATTTTCAGTTTAACAAAAAACATTACAGAGTCTGTAGCTATGAGACTGAAGAAAATTTAAGATTTATAAAAATACATGAATACATATTAGAAAATATATCCCTTAGCACAAGGGTATATATATATATATATCTATATATATCTATACACACACACACACACACACACCCAGATATATACATACATATGTATACATATGTGTACACACACACATATATGTGCATATATGTGTGTGTATATGTATAGATAGAGACACATACACACACACACACACACACACATATATATAAAATGTATTTTCTAATTTCTACTATCTTGTCTGTAAACTATTGAGATTTCAGAGTATACTCCAGAGTATATATCAAATTGCAAGGTCATTGATTTTCCACACTTTCTAAGTGCTCCTTTTCCTTAGTTCTAAAAAATATAATCTGGTCTTGTGTAGAAAACATAAAAAAAAAGGCCAGGCGCAGTGGTTCGTGCATGTAATCCCAGCACTTTGGGAGGCCGAGGCAGGTGGATCACCTGAGGTCAGGAGTTCAAGACCAGCCTGGCCAACATGGTGAAACCCTGTCTCTGCTAAAAATACCAAAAATTAGCCAGTAGTGGCAGTGTGCAGTGTGTGCCTGTAATCCTAGCTACTCTACTTGGGAGGCTGAGGCAGGAGAATCGCTTGAACCTGGGAGGCGGAGGTTGCAGTGAGCCGAGATCGCGCCATTGCACTCCAGCCTGGGCAAAAGAGAGAAATTCTGTCTCAAAAAAAAAAAAAAAAAAAAAAGGAAAACATAAAAAATATAAACAAACCACGAATTTTTCCTGACAAATCACACACAAAATCAGAAAGTGTGTAGTAAGGAATTTACACATTTACCATAGATGATTAAACATTATTTTAACTATTTATAAAGGGCTGAATATAATTATCAAATTGCATAAAAGTACAAAGGCATGATGTCAAAAAGTGAAGCCCATAGAATATCAGAAATATCAAATTTTGTAAATGTAAAACAGAGTTTCAAAGTTTCATATATAGGTCAATAGTGTTGTCAACAGAAGTCTGCCTGTGTGATACAAGTTGGGATGTATAATACTGGAAAGCAAATGCCTGCTTCACCCATCGATTGCATAATTTATTCAGAACACATTGGCTTGTCATAGTATTGTCTTGAAAAATAGTAACAGAAGATGATTCTGCAGAAAACTGTCTAAAATTCATGTGCACACACACACATATACACACCACTCATATTAATCAGACTTGTAGCATTGATCATTTCTGATGAAAAATAAATAGATTTCTAATTGGAGATGATCAAGGAGTGGCTGAAGGAGAGACCTCTAGCATATAAACTTTCAGAGGATGCTGGGAAAGAAAGCAAAAAGTGGATTAAAACTAGAATAGCATCTGAATATTTTAAATAATTTAAAATCAAAATATTACTTATAAAAGCCATATTGTTCCATTTGCTATCACCGAAGAAATTCTCTATTCAAATTTGAATTACAACCATTTTTGCTCATCTGACCTATTATTAAATGCATTCGTTCCAGAAATACAGCAAATAATTTCTCATAATTCTTCACATCTTATTATAAGAGGTTAAAGCTTTTTGCTGAATAAAATTTAACTGAAATTGAAAAAATTAATTTCTACTCATTGTAATGATGAATGTCAGAGATGTACATGTTCTTAATTAACTTCCTGTTAATAAAGGATTTCTTTAGATATGAGTACTTAACTGGTATTTGCCATCATGTTGGGGGAATGGGGAATGATCAAGACTGCACAAACTTTAGTAAGATGGATGAGATCAGTGATGCCATAGCTGGAAAAAACAGAAAGTCTACATTTCTAGTTCCCTGCTCTCCTTTGTTCAGACTAGCATCTGAGGAAACTTGTGAAGAAGTCACCGTGAAATAAAAGTCTTTGTCAAAAATAAAAACAAATACAAACCTACAAAAGAAGTGATGGGGCTGGTCATGGTGGCTCACAACAGTAATCCCAGTGCTTTGGGAGGCTGAGGTGGGAGGATCACTTGTGGCCAGGAGTTCCAGACCAGCCTGGGCAACATATCAAGACCCCCATCTCTGTGCAAAAAAAATTTTTTTTAATTAGCCAGGTGTGGTGGCATGTGCCTGTAGTCCTAGCTACTTGGGAGACTACAGTGAGGATCACTTGGGCCCAGGTGTTTGAGACTACAATGAGCTATGATTGCACCACTGCATTCCGGCCTAAATGATGGAGTGAGACCTTGTCTCCAAGGGCGGGGGGTGGAAATAGATGTGATGATATGATGGAGTAAGATCAATTACCTGCCTTCCTCACCATATCAGGTGGTCTCACTACTGTAGGACAGACTGGAACACCTGCTGGGACAAATGTCACAGCAGAACAGGATAGAGAAGCAGTATTATTGGCTGGTGACCTAAAGGTGGCCATAGTTACTCTTTCTTCTTGACCATAAACCCCTCAGCTTTCAGGGGAGGCTTGGTCCCTTCTCCAACCCTAAGACATGAAACTCAAGATAAAGAAATCCTATTAGCATCATTGCTTTTGTCCTGGACTAGTGAAATAATGGGCTACGACATACTACCAGCCACTGAGCCTAAGGGGAAGGGAGTCTCAGTGAATATTTGGCCTCTTTTCTTTTAAAAAAACACTTTGTCAGAACAGAATGTTCCCTTTCCAATGCCTCCAGACACTGCCATCTTCATAGCTGCTTGGAACTGTGGCAGCGTCTGAGAAATTCAGTAGATCTAGCCAAAGAGAAAGAGCCCAGTGCCTCCACGTGGCTCAGTGGAAGACAGACAGAACCAGGGTTCTTACCAATGGGTTTGAGCAGTCGAATAAGCCGACTCTGGTGCTACTTACCTCCAGATTCCTATTATATAAAATGATAACAAAACAAAAAAACTTGCTTTGAAAACATATTTTGTTGTGTCTTCTGTTTCTGGAAATAGCATATGTGACATAGTAAGGTAATGTATTATTTTTAATTAATTAATGTTTTTGCTCATTCATTCATTAAACTCATGCTGTGTGCCTACAGTATTTAAAATGCTGGGATACACAGTAAACATAAACACATTGATAATACCTTATATTTTATAGTATATTATAGATTAGCAAGTGCTTTCAATAGAATACAGGTTGAGGTTCCATATCATTTATCTAACATGCTTCAGAGTACAAGTGTTTCAGATTTTGGATTTCCTTTTGAATTTTGGAATATATACACATACATAATATCTTGAGGATGAGACTGAAGTCTAAACACAGAATTCACTTTTGTTTCATATCCACCTTATACACAAAATCTAGAAGATAATTTTATGTAATATTTATTGTGCATGAAACAAAGTTTTGACTGTGTTTTGACTATGAGGTCAGATGTGGGATTTTCAACTTGTGATATCATGCCAGAACTCAAAAAGTTTATAGTTTTGAAAAATTTCAGATTTAGATTTTCAGATTACAGATGTTCAACCTGTATTTTATTCTTTTCTACTCCTCAAATAAACCCGTATTAGAAATTGAGGTTGAGGGTGCTTGTGCCCTGCATGAGGCCACAGTTTTGGATAGTAAGTGCTCTGACTACAAGTAAGGCTCTCATTACCACTCTACCTGGGTCCTCCCTTATAAGCTGCATGCTTATGTTCTAGCTTCACTAAGCTTGGAAGCTGGTCTGACTTGATCACAAATCCCAAAACTTTCTTGTTCCTGGGAACCGAAAGTAGGGCCTGGGCAATAAAGACCATAGAAATCCACCAGTCTGTGCTAATTGCATCTCAATTTAAAAAGCTGCAATTGTGCAATCCTTTGGAATGCAGGGAGAAAATATTAGGACTTGCAATATATTTACTTTTTAAATATTTTCCTTTAAAAGGTTTTACTTACGTATGTTTCATAATGCACATCAGATGTTACATCTGCCATGCATATATAATTTATAGAGACTGAAAATGTATACTAAATAGATAAATGGCACATATATTAATGTTTCAAATATTATCACATAAAAAGTTGTGTGATCAAAATATTTAAAGACCACTGATCTGTTTCTGATTAGTAGACTAGATAGTGACATGCCTACATGCCCACTTTGCCTTTATTAATTTAGAGACATCGGTATTGGGCAATGACCATATGTTGTACTCAGCGACGTGCAATATCCTACTACCTATCTGGATAATTCAGTCCAAGTGACAACTTTTTTGGAACTTTCATTGTCTTATCACTGGGTTGCAAAAATCACATAAACAGTTAACTTATGCGAAAGCACTTTGTAAATTGTAAAACACTGGAGAAGTGTTAAGTTCAAAACAGTAGTTGAAATTAAAGTGTGTGGAATCATGATGAGAGAAACTGACTTTTATTGAGTGCTACTATTTGCTTTCCAAATATTATCTCATTGAAACTCCACAAAATGTTCAATAGATGATGTAACTGGAGCAGGAAGAGGACACAATTTACATGCATGTGTTTATCTACAACGAGGTGCTTCTTTGCTCCTCAGAACAAGTCTCAAGAGCATTTATTAGTTTGAACCATGTGAAATTGCTGTTTTTATAGGTTAGTCAAATATCAGCTATTTCCCATGGTTCAAACTAACATAAAATGATCATTTTACATATGAGGAAAAGAAAGCCAAGCAAACTGAAATGACTTGGTCCAAAGTCAAAGAACTCGTAAATGTAGGGAGGTCCTAGAACTAAAATATATGCCTCCTGTTTCCACCACCCCCTACTCCATACTGAGAGCACAGCACTCCATCAAACCTCAGCAATCTTTGTCACCCAAGGGACAAGCCTTTCAGAGGCTGTATTTAGGTTTCTAGTGAGGAGACACAGTACACTGCATTTCTAGTATAGGGGTGTGTTATGGTCCCTCTAAAATATGCCCTGTGCACCAGCCTGCTGCCCTGTCTCCAAAATCTGTATTAAGTGAAGCAAATTACATACCATGCCCTCTCATGTGGAAGGCTCTACACACTCAACTGAATTTTACTTTGGATTGCTCATGGCTCTCTAGATTTTGTTAACTATAATTTCCAAATAGTCCTGAAGACTGGTGTTTCTTCAGCCCCATTCAGCAATGCAAACCACTACAGGAAAATCCTCATCTTTGCCAGAAAGTGAATTTTTGGAAATGCAGCTCTGCTCTGGGAGACTGGCGTGGCTATCTGTGAGTTCATCCTGTGCACGCTTATTCAGCCTCTGGAGGGATTGCATTCTTTGCCAAGGATGCCTTTCGACTCCCCAGAGCTGTATCTGGCTTTTCTCTTGAAAGCAAAACAAACAAAATGAAAGAAGAGGAGGAAGACAACACCTCAACCATCTTCATTCTAAGCTTCCTGTATTTTCCTGCCCAGAAGTTTCTTTAACTCTTTAAAGAACTCTTTAAAGAAAAAGAAATCTAGGACCAAAATTCTCAATGTTGTTAAATCTGAGTGGAAATCCCTAAAGTTTAAAGCTTGGTTAAGGCTTAAGAGGCAGTCAGCGACTTTTCCTCAGAAATGCTCATAAGTCCTCCTAACCATTAAAGAAAAGAATTAAATGAGACTTTGAAAAGATGCCTAAGGTTGCATTTTAGAAGGTTCTTATTTTAATATTATCTTCCAAAGAGAATGAAAAGACAAGGAAGACCATCTGGATTTTAGGAATCCAATAAATATTAACATTTATCAAGTTCCATATTTATGGCAGCTCTGTTAATTAGCTCAAAAGGTCATTTCTGGCACCCATATGATTCTGTAAGTACAAAATGATGATGGATCTCTTACACTATACCAAGATATGCAGCCTTTTTTTTTTTTTTTACCAAGTTCCAATGAAATGCAAATGCTTACTTCCTTACTGGAACTCTCTGCATTAATATCAAGGAGCTACTTTTGAAAATAATTATTTAATATCTACCTATTATTGCTCAAAATAAGTAGGCATAAATATGCTCAATTTTAGGTAAGGTTTAAAATATCTACTCACATGTTTTGACAATACATTTTGCAGCCTTAAACAGTTTGTCAATTTGATATGGTGTTGATTTAGGGTGTTTTCTCCCCTCCATTTAGCTTCCTCTTTGATTTTTGGTCTCACTGCCTAGCTTTTGGCACAGTGAGAAAGCAATTTTCTCCAGAGTCAAAATTAGTACTGCATCATGAATTATTCAGCCCAACACATTGCTTCTTGCAGCACCCTGTGCTCTTCCAGCCCCAAAGTTTGAAATCTTCTCTTTCGCACAACCCAATCTCCATTCAACCCCCTGCCCTCCACTTCTCCTTCCTCCCAATATGGTGGTCCAGCAGGCTGGCACCTTGGCACCTGACTGAATTTGCTTTATATTTAAATTTCAAGTCACATAGCCGCCTTCTAGCTGGAGAGCTTCACAGTGCAATCACATGAGGCAGGCTGCTTCCACATAAAACAACTTCAAATAATATCTGTGAGATGGGAGCCGGACTTTAATAACTTTACCTTAAAATAGACTCATTGAGGAGAGCCTGGCCAAGCCTCAAATGTCTACATAAAGGTAATATTAACTCTGTATCTGTAAAGTCTTTATACTTGGCAATTTTAATGTTTTCTTATAAATTCATTTATGCAGAGCCTCTCATTTTGATATGTTATAGCAATGTTTCAACTTTCTCCCTGTTACTTCTCATTTCATGAATTTTCTCAGGAGAGTATTCTTGATAAACACATAATATATATGCTGATCCTACCCTTCCTTGAATTAACACAAATTTTAATTGAAAGGATTATGTATCTATTATCTTGGCTATTGAAAATATATATCCTTGATTTTTTTGCATCAATTACATTACTTAGAAAATTTCCAAAAAGCCACATGCTTCACACGACCCAAGATTGACATTGCATGGAAGAGATGGCTGAAGCTGCAGCTTACACAGACTTGTGACACACTGCAAAACTGAAAGGTTTTTAGATAAAATTAAAATGAAAGATCAATAGGTATAAAACTGAGCAAATGAAATCTGAGAAAATTTTCCAAATAAAGAAAAGTACATTCCTAAGCATCCTACTTGAATTGCCCTAAAAACCCACTTCTGAGATAATATTTACACTGTGAAAGCACCCAAGAAAACAAAATACTTACCCATCATTATATGGCTCTAATAGCCAGACCTCATCTTGTGCTGTTAGAGTTATCAAAATGCAGTGGTCATATTTTGGGTCAAAAAAATGTCTGATTGCCCAGTTACAGGAAATAGGGATGGTTATTAAATAAACATAATCTTTAAAGTGTATAATTCTACTTATACATAGATGATCATTGACAGTTGTTAACTCTACAGTTTCCTACTCAAACGAATTTAATTGGACAAGATATGTCTCTTTAAATTAGAAAATATGACGTTTCTTTTGAGAGAGAGAGTGTAATATGTATGTACATCTTAGCATATAAATTATTGAAAATATATTCAAAGGAATCTTGATTTTGGTAAATAGATGGCATTAGATTCATTTATGTTGGCCAGTAGCATGCTATATGCAGCATTTTACTGCTGCTGCTGAAATGATTAACTTTAGCTGTGTGCCAAGCAAGATTCAGAATTCATATTCTGAGAATTTCTGATGCTACAATGTTCAACTTGTATTTTAACAGATTCCTTGAAGATGTTAGCTTTGTGATTCTTGATTTATGCTTGCAAGTGTGATTTTATGGTTTGAGTAATCAATGTTTCTCTTTCCACCCATTCTTTTTTTCCCTATCTTCTCTCAAGCTCTCCTCTCAACGTCATGTAGTTGTAAGAAGAGAGATTCTGGTGCAGTCCCCTGGGGTTAGCTGATGAACATGGACCATATGTTCCTGACTTTCTTCAGAGATTACTGTGTGCATTATATTGACAAACCAACTACCCAAAACAATTCTGGATAACTTTATATTACACCAACAGCTTGCTAATGAGCCATGGTAGCAGTTGCCATATTTTAGTAATATTTATTAAATTGTTATGAGGCATGAAACTGTATTGGTTTAGCTCTGCGATAAACTAGTTAAAAGCTAGAAGGTTTTATTTTTGAAAATAATCATTTGTAATTGACGTTCCTGTAGTTTTTTTTTTTCCCCTCATACGTGTTTTAAACACTTTTTCCTACTATTGCTGATATTTACTCTGGGAAGACCAAAGAACAGAGCTCCTCAAACATTGTCTTTGTTCGTGCTCTTTTATAGGATGCTCTTTGTATGCTTCTTTGCTTGCTCATCTACAGGACAAAGAGCAAGGTGGTAAAACATATGGTTATGGGAATGGCATAGTCCCCATGTGCTCCAGCCTCTGCTGAGAGGTATAAATGAGACAATAATAGTAAAGTGGCTCCAGAATTATTATTATAATCTTGCTGGTCATTCCAGTAGTTTTCCAAAATACCTAATATAAAACATTTGATTACGGTAAAAATGAAATCCAGGTGCAACTCTTTATTTATTATTCCCAAAGGCATTTAAAAGGCTTCCAATTTTGTGTAATTGTTACATAGTCCAAAACTGAGTCCAGAAAGGCTTCGCATATTAGTTATGCTAATTAGTTATGCTGCCTCTCCTCAGACACACCTTTTTAAATCATTTCATATAATTTATATCGATGAGACTTAAGTTAAAAAACTTCCCTATATTTCAGTTTTCTCATCTTTTAAATTGTGATCATAATTGTTTCTACCTGATAATTTAGGTCAAATGAGATAGTGCAGATAGAGTTTTCCAAGTAATAAATGGTCAGATACTGTATGTCAATTAATATTAACTATTCTTAAAAGTGGTAAGTTCTTTACACAGTAATATGGTTTGGCTGTGTGCCCAACCAAAATCTCATCTTAAATTGTAATCCCCATAATCCCCACTGTCAAGGGAGACACCAGGTGGAGGTAATTGAATCATGGGGGCAGTTTCTCCCCATGCCGTTCTTGTGCTAGTGACTTCTCATGAGATCCAATGGTTTTATAAGGGGCTCTTCCCCCTTCACTCATTCACTCTTCTCTTTCCTGCCACCATATGAAGAAGGTCTATGCCCGCTTCCCCTTTCGCCATGATTGTGTGTTTCCTGAGCCTTCCCAGCCATGTGGAATTGTGAGTCAATTAAACCTCTTTCCTTTATAAATTAGCCAGGCTTGGGTATTTCTTCATAGCAGCGTGAGAACGGACCGCTACACACGGCTTTACTATTTTTACAAAATGTAACAGCAGCTGATATTAACTGATGACTTACTAAGTGCTAGGCACCATTATAAACACTTTACATGTGTACACTAATTTGAACCTCAGAAAAACTCTATGAGTAGACATGTTATTCATCCCACGTTATGCATAAGGAGTTATATCATGGACAGGTAAAGTAACTTGCCCACATTCATCCACTAACAAATGACCCGTGCACTTCACTACTGAACACTAAGTGCAAATAAATATATATTTTCCCTTTGGATTTTGGGATTTATTTTTCTATCGACAAAAATAGATAACACTAAAAAAGTGCCAAAAATAATATTTCACTGTCTCTGCTACCCTGTCATTCAGCTAGGACAATTGCATTGATTGTCTAATAGTACTGCACTATAATCAAGCAAGAACCAAAGACCTCTAGATTAGAACATACCTTAAAGGTCACTTAGCCCAACAACTCATCCAGAAAGACTATTGTTTTTCCAACATGTTCTCATTTCCTTGTGTCAAAAACAATTAGGAAAGCAGAAATGTGGAGCAAGGGACTCAGCAGCCAAGAACAGAAAGTATGAGTCACAGCAGTCAACTAGACAAGGGCCTGAGCTGCTTCTTGCCTCAATTAATTTGTCTGTACCATAGAAGTAAGAATATCAACCTCATAAGTTTGGCGTGAGGCTTAAACTGGACTAAGTACGGGAACATAACTTGCAAATGTGCTATGCAATTAATTTTTAAAACGTGTTATTTCTTCCATTTTGGGGATAAAAGTGAGAAGGAATATCCTGATAAAGAAGAAACATAGAATTACTAAATAGAGAAAACTATTTTAATATGTAGCTTGGTGTAAAGGTCCCTGAGATAGCTACAAGATACAGGTATACATTCAAAGAGTCCTGACATAGGAAAGCAAGCAAATATTACAGCCAGCCCAAAGGGAAAGCCAAATGGAAAGCAGAAGATGGTTTTCAAGGGTGGTTCACACACATAACACTGGCATTGGGGGGAGATTAGAAGACACAAGAGAAATCTATCTCAAGAGATAACACTACTATTCCTGCAACATGCTCACTTCCAGGCAGGCTGCTTGAGGATCAGAAGGGTCTGCCTGCCACTGTTCACCTCTAGCCATCCCTACTGCCTGCTACTGCCCAAGTCTGCAGCTTATTAGTAATTCCTGCAGAGGGGCAGCAGGGGAAAATGAAAAGAACTGGCTATTAAACCAATGAGAACGGTCATTTGTTTAGTAAATTGTCAGACTCTGGTGGGGAAGAGACCAAAGGTATTATCTAAAGGAGGTCATGGAGATTTCAGTTATCTGTTCTAAACCTGTTCTTAGATCCTGAGACAAAGGGGTAAGCAATAAGAGAGAAACTAAATATTTGAAGATGCAAATTAAGCAGGAGAGATTAAGGTGGTATTTTGGGAGGTGAGAAGAGTGAATAGCAACATATTTGCAGGCCACTTTCTTAGGCCTACAGAGGTGTCAAAGCAAAGTTGTCTTAGGTAGAAGGAAGAAAAGTAGAGCATCATTGAGTAAGGCCTATATGGTGGATGGCAGCTTAAGGTGTTTGGAGAAGATTTGGAATAGACCATTGCAACTGAACTAGAGAATCAATAAGAAGCCAAGTCTTGTTAAGCAATGATTGGGAACTGACTTGGATTAAAGAACATAAATGAAATGTGATCCTAACAAAGAAAAGGCAGAAAACCTATTTCTGGAGTTGAAGGAGTACATGTGAAGAAGATTAAGAAAGGATTCAGGCAGGTAGCAAGTAGACTGTTCAAAGAATTGAAGTTCGGAAAGAAGTAAGGATGAAGATGAAAGAAATGCATGCCCTCTTTGCACTGAAACTCCCTCCTCTTTGTGGTGGCTGTACAGCCTTCAATGACATCTTTTCCTTCAGTCCACTATTGGTGAAGACTGTGAGCATGAATATCCAGAGCTCTTTTCCACATGTCCTCTCACATATCCCTGAATTTGGTACTTCTGTCCATGTCTTCTTTTTTGAACCTCCTTCCTGGACTGTCTTTGATGATATTGTCCTGATTCATATACCTCTTACTGAGCCTGATTCATATACCTCTTACTGAGTTCTCTTCTTGCTTCTATATTCGTGGACGTAATCTGGAGTCTGTCTGGCTATCTTTTCTCCATGAAACATCTCTCCAACATTTCTCTTTCACTTGTACAGCTTCACCTAGCAAATCAGACCAGGCTTCTGTTAGTTACAATGAAAAGAAACAGATGGAACCCAGAAGAACCACATAACTGAAATCTGTAGTACTGGTCTATGTGAATATCAAAATAGAGGTAGAGAAGGAACCAAGATGGCATCTGTAGTGGGAACGAAGTATGTTTAAGAAATGGAAAGATGTGGTCAAAACTGATGATGGGGTTGAATTGGTATAACATTCAAGTGCCATCTAAAGTTCTCCTATGTATTTAATATCATCCTTCCTTTTGAGTTAATGTCCACATTTCCATTTGCTTATTGCATATCTCCATGTACGACACAAACAATACCAAATGCTCACCAAATCCCATTATTTCCCAACTTGTCTGAGTCTATGAGAAAACCCCACTTCAGTTATGTTGGAGCCATGTGACATATAGGCAGCAATGTCTTCCATGTTTAGGACTAAGCACAAAACCTTGTGCAAACATCCTCACTCTGTCTCCACTTCTGCAGCAACCTTAGAGAGCATGTGTTTAAAATGATAGCATCACAAGAAAGAAGGAGCTTAAATAGCCACTTCACTGTTTTGAGAATACATGTCAAAGTTCAAGTAGACAGCATATGGCACACCCAAGTTGAGAAATTGAGAAGAGATTTACAGGACATCTCTTATATAGGTGAGGACAAATTTTATACCTAGCAATGAAGAATGATGTAATACCCCCAGGGCTAGTAATGGTGGAGAGATATTACTACTCCTAGGCCTGAGAAAACAAATGAAGAAACTAGATTCCAGAACACAGAGAGAGTTGTACAGCGAATGCCACTTGACTGGAGAATTTCCTTTTAATAGGAACATGCTGCCAGTAAAGGAAACACTGCAGAAATAAACACTGCAGCTAAATCCCCTCTCTTGCTCTTCAGTCATATACAGTGGTTGTCCTCCACTGACTGAGCCAAATCAGAAGTTAGAGGGCAAAGGAGCCCACTGATGAGAGCTAATCAGGGCAGCCTCCAGGAACACCCCTAGGTGAAGAATGGGAGAGAGTCAATGGAGAACTAACAAACCCTCATTAGACTGTGATAAGTATAAGAAAGAAACCTTTGTTGTAGTAAGACAGTGGTATTTTAGGACTATTTACTACAAACTAACAATAGTTGCCTTGATTAATGTATATCTTTATATCCTGCCAGCCCCTCAGATTCTATAAAGCTCCTGTTAATATGTGGGTTATACAGTGAGGTAGATTGCAAAATAAAAGACACCACTGTACTCAGAATTAAATTGTACAGTCAACTTTAATGAATCAAGATACAAAATGATACCTTAAAGAGTTAGAAAACTGCCCACTCTCAAAAGAATTTACTATACTCTTGATGCATTTTATTTACATTCATTAACATATTAAATCTGATGGTCAGTTAAATAAAGAACCAAAAAAAAGTCATAATGAAAAGTCAGGTTATCATGCAAACCTGACTTAATGCAGTAGACTGCATTAGAGAATGCTAAATATTCTGTTTTTAAAAACAGAATTTCTGTTGGCAGATGGATGTTCCTGGCTGTTGTTAAATATTTGACCCATCCAACTTTCATTGTTGATTCCTTGTTCATCAAAGAACATCCTGTTTTTGATTTATGTGATGTAATTTCCCATGAAGGTATGCTTAAAGTAAGAATGGAAGCTAAACATATTCATATTCGGCCATTAATTATTTTTTATTATAATGTACTAATTTTGCATTCTAATTTTATATGTCTTATGATAGTTTTTAATGTGAAGTCACCCCTGAAAAAATGATATGCCTTTAATTTCCAGACAAAGTCAATTTCTAAGCCTAGTCTTTATGCTGAATTCACCAGAAAAAGCAATGCTACTGAGAGAAGCCTCTTAAAAGACAGTGAACTGACCTTCCATAGTGACTACATCCTGTAATTCCTATGTGAAAGAGTACAAGCTACTTTTATTTTTAAATATTCACTATATGCAAACTCAAACCAAGCTGAATTTCTCAAGCTCAAGTACTAGGAGGCGTGTTTGATGCTTTCTTCTGCTTTATCCGCTACTTGTAGCCTACTGTCCATTTACATGGAAATGGAATACTCATTTCCAATGAGTATTTATTAGAATCCAACTCAAGCTCTTCTTTTTCATCACCACTGATTTAATCTGAAATTTTGCTATCTTTGCTTGAAGGTTTACAACAGTCTCCTGGCTGGTTGCTGTGTCTTCACTCTTTTCTATAATCCGTCCTACACATGACTCACAGATGGTCTTTCTAAAGCACAGCTGCAATGATTATCTTCTCTGCTCAAAATAATCAAATTATTCCCAGTTACTCCAACTTCTTCATCCTGACATTCATGTCCTCCCTAATGTGCCTCCAGTTAATCTAACACATACTCCTATGTGTATATCACACATCAATCAAAGTGAACAGCTTGTTGTCCACAAATGTGCTTTTTTGCTAAGGGACTTTTAAGAACTGACTTTTATATAGTCTAATAGCATTCAGTAATTTTTATGACACATGTTTTTCTTCTAGTCAGATCTTCCCACGTCCCTCCTTTTACAAGACAATGCCCTCTTCATCTTTCGGGGGACTTTGGTAAAAAACAAACAAACAACAACACACACAAAAAAAACCTCAACAGGGGTCTACAGCTCCTCAGATAGAGATCCTGACATTTAAGCCGTTGATTTTGATTCAACTAGTAAGATTTGTGGATTCAATCAGAGCATTCCGACCACAGGAAAAGCTTTGATCTGTGTAGAAATACATAGGCAACAGGATTTCCAAGTAATATTGATAGTGTAATTTGTAAAATAGAAAATAATGTAAGTTTACTCAGTAGCACTTATTCATTGACCGAAGGAGGTAAAAAGGTATCTACAGACTTATTCTCTCAAAAGTGGCAACGACTCTTACGCACGCTTTGGACTTTGGATTTTTTTTGCCTTCAGTTTCCCAAATACTTCAGGGAAAAACCAAGGAAGACTCACATGCTCCTTCATTTACCCCCTCAATCCATAAGATGATGATCTGGAATAACTATGTACTAAAATTCCATTTGTTACAACTTGATCTCCAATGCATGTATAAAATGCTATCTCTTCCTCAAAGCTTCAACACCTCAGCAGAGATCTCCAGATCCCTGTGTCATGTGTGTGAGTCAGGGGGCTTAGTGAACACAGTGCTGGCTCTGGGAGGAGACAGAATTGAATTTGAGTCTTATCTCTAAATCTATACCTGTGTGAACGTGGGCAAATGTCACAACCCATCTAAACTTCTGTTTCCTGTTTAAAATGAAAACAATAATAAGTATCTGGCAGGTACTCAGTAGGTCTTCAAGAAATACCTGTTTCTTCCTCTTCCTTTCCTTTGATTACTACTATTTTGATGGGTGTATATCAATTGTCTTCGTATCTAAACTTTATGTACCTGTGGGGCATAAGCTGTGTCTCTCTCTTCTCTAAATCCTCAACAGAATTGAATATAATTTCTTACATACTAGACACAAAATGAACGATGAAATGAATGTCAAATTTATGTGAAGTAAAATACACTTTGCATTTGTTTAAGAAAAGATACTTAATAAAATGTTACAGAAAAAATTGCTGAAAGGTGGGTGTTACATGGTTTCCCTTTCTTAATAGTTACCTTTGAAAGGTATCTTGACTGGTTAATTTTACAATGTCTCCTGCTGATATGACTGCTTTTGTGCAAAGATACCCCCTTTACCAGTTTCCTGCTAAAAAAAAAGACAACTTTTTCAGTTCTAATTGAAGGTTTGCCTTCTCAATACCGCTATTAAAGGCCTCTCACCAAAATGGTCACTATTGTTCAAGAAATTAGCTGGTCTCCTGTAGTAGATTTCACTAAGATTTTTCCTTTTAACATGAAGACTGAGAAGACGAAGAGTTGACTAAAGCACCGTAAGGGAGACTGGACAGTTTGAGACAGAAATGATTTCAGATAACTCACTATGTAACCCCTTATGAGACATCAAAACCATTCTCAAGCAGTATTAGAACACCAAAGAACTGTTGGCTAAAGTGCTATCAAAATCCTGTTTGTGAAACTCCTTCCCTCTGGCCATGGAGTCCAGGCCTTTCTAGAGGCCCCTCTGGCTCCAGTGGTTCCAGCCTGAAACCACAGCTGTCTTTTTTTTTTTTTTTTTTTTTGAGACAGAGTCTCACTCTGTCACCAGGCTGGAGTGCGCTGGTGCGATCTTGGCTCACCGCAACCTCCACTTCCTGGGTTCAAGTGATTTCTCCTGCCTCAGCCTCCCAAGTAGCTGGAAGAACAGGCGCCTGTCACCACACCTGGCTAATTTTTTGTATTTTTAGTAGAGATGGGGTTTCACCATGTTGGCCAGGCTGGTCTCTAACTCCTGACCTCGTGATCCGCCCACCTCGGCCTCCCAAAGTGCTGGGATTACAGGTGTGAGCCAACGTGCCCGGCCCAGCTGTCTCTTTATGTTTAATTGAAACTGAACTTGGAGTAGCTGAGTGTGAAGTTGGTGTGCCTTTTTCTTCTTCAGTGGCAATAGGACATGACATTGCAAGCCCTTTTTCTGAAACTCTCAACTCCTAAGTGTTAGTTCACCCAAAAAGCAGTCCTCAGCTTTACTTCAGAGGATAAAGAAAGAGAAAGGCCTTCGGAGAGTAACAGGCCTGATTCTTTTCTGAATTCATTGCAGTACTAGCTGCTTGACTTCGGGCATGCGACTTACTTTCTCTCTTCCTCTTGCGTCATAGGTTTGTTGTAAAGATAGAGTTAGAACCCATCATTGATTTATTTGCCAAATAATATTAGACATCGATGCCACCAATCTCCTCCTATATCCCTATCCCCTCATTCCTTGTGAGAAATAAGCAGGCTGAGTAATTCCATCACATGGTCCTCATCCTAGTCCTCTTTCTGCCTTTCTTTCATTTGTTAATTACAAAAATATGCATGAAAACATATAGTCAATGCTTCAATTCAACAAATATGTGCATCTCTTCTCCATGCCAGGTATTTAGTAGGCACTATTTATTAGGAGTTCATATCAGTGTGTCAGGAAATATCCAGTCTGGTACAGGAGTCAGTAAGTATTACTGAACCACTGCTGCTGCTACTACTACTGCTACCAACCACTACCTCAACAACAACACCAATTGCACTAATAATTGAAGATTAATTTATTAGCACAATGCTAAGAATGCACATTGTCATTTATGCAATATTTTGTTTTGTTCACTGTTGTATTTCCAGTACTTAGAATAGTGTCTGATATTAAGGAGGTGCTCAATAAAAATTTGTTGAAAAAGAGTGACTTTAACCCTTATGACAACCCTATGTGTAATTATGTACATTTTTCGGATAAGGATACTGAGGCTGAAGGAATAAACCAATCTCCACAGTGATGTCCTAAGTGCTCTGATACGAATATAGTCCTTTATTCTACTTCCTGGCAACACACACACACACACACACACACACACACGCACACACACACACATGCACACTCTCAATAACACAGATAGCGGGCATCAGACGTTAAACTGTATGAAAAAAAAAGAAATGTAATCTGGAAATTAGATTGATACAGAAAAACTTAATATTGTAGGCACCAAGTGTAGATAGCTTCCTTGACCCTTATCTAAGTCTGGTTTTATAGGCAGTGCTCCAAATATTGATGACAGGTGCTAACCTACCAAGTAACAAATAGCTATCTTTATTGTGTCACCATACAGAAGTTAATGTAAGTGCAAATGGATGAGAAAATCAACGTTTTACATAAACTGCCTAAAACTATTTCTATTTAAGAAAATTGACTTTAAGGGCCACAAATACACATTTGCATAAATAAATTGGTGTATTAACAGATCAGTTTATATATTCACATAAATTTTCAAATGAAAGTGTTTCCCAACCTATCTGGTATTTAAAGCATGAACTATATTAAATACCTCAGCTCCCAGAACATGTTTGAACTAAGCAGAGCTGCACCAACATATCAGAATTAGAGTGCAGGGAGAGAAGCTTCCAGGTTGCACTACAAATTTGCTTCATATTTTTGGTTTAGGTTTGAGAAACTTGGAATTATACATCATAATAGGCAATAAAAATGAACAAATTGATTAATGAATTAAATAATTAGTATATACTCTTAGTTATTGTTACTTGAGTTATTTTTTTTTCTTTTCTTTTTTTTTTTTTTCCGGACAGAGTCTCACTCTGTCACCCAAGCTGGAGTGCAGGGGTAGCAAGGTCTCAGCTCACTGCAACCTCTGCCTCCCAGGTTCCAACAATTCTCCTGCCTCAGCCTCCTGTGTAGCTGGGATTACAGGTGCATGCAACCACGCCCAGAAAATTTTTGTACTTTTTTTTTTTTTTTAGATGGAGTCGTGTTCTGTTGCCCAGGCTGGAGTGCAGTGGCGTGATCTTGGCTCACTGCAACCTCCGCCTCCCGGGTTCAAGCGATTCTCCTGCCTCAACCTCTTGAGTAGCTGGGATTACAGATGTGTGCCACCACACCTGGCTAATTTTTGTATTTTTAGTAGAGACGGGGTTTCACCATGTTGGTCAGGCTGGTCTCGAACTTCTGACCTCATGATCTGCCCACCCTGACCTCCCAGTGTGCTGGGATTACAGGCGTGAGCCACCGTGCCCGGCCCCTTAAGTTATTTTCAGTACGTTAGTTAGAATCATAGCCTTGCACGAACTGATGTTTTATGAATTTGAAGAGGGGGTGAATGAATGAGTGAGCGAATAAATGAATGAAACAACACTTTTTTAAACCTCAGAGAGAAATATGGCCTTTCTCCCAATTAACCTAGGTTGATAAGTGTGACTGTACAAGAAGTTGAAGGTTTTTAAATCACCTTTGCTTATTTTAATGAACTGGAAATATATCCCACTCAAATAGTCAGCACCGGGTAGTGCTGTTACCTATCTGTAAAGAATTTATCTTCTTTCCTACAAATAAGACAGCCAAGCAATATAAATGTGATTCTCTTGTTTTAAACCATCTTTTATTTTGTTCTACCTCACTAAGAGCTTTTGCAAGAATAACAAAACAAAACAAAACAAAAACAAAACTGTCCTTTATTTGATCTGCCACCCAAGGAAGTAGTGTTTATATATCTTTTTCTTCCGTTTGGAATCTGAAAAACCATAAAAGAAACCAGACAGGCTGTGCCTATCTTCAAGTGATATTTTCAGTGTTTCCGTCCCCATATTTTTTAATGAAAATAAAATAATAGCTATGTATTAGAAGCAGGGGCTTTTAATGGAACAACCATGTAAGGTTTTATTTTTCATAAGGTAACATCAACTATTGTGTACAAAATGTTCATGGATTTTCAAAATCCAGTTGCTTTACAAATTTGTGATTAAATGTTCTCTTTTTTGATAAGACTATGTCACCATAATATTCTATATAATAATATAAGATGTCGACAGCCATTTAAACAAAGCAGCTTTATTAATGAAGAATTCAGTTATTGCTTCTATTTGGTTTACAATAATTAACATATTTGGGAAATAAGAAAATAGAGACAAATTTTTCTTAAATGGAAATCATGAATAGCTTAAGGACTCAAAATTTTTGTTTCTCAGATTTATCAGGAATCAATTAAGTTCTAGAATAGCCTCACTTCTTCTAGTATTATCTTAAGATAAATATCACATGGTCCTTCCTATGCTCTTTCAACATCTGGTGTTGTTTATCTAGGATAAGATACACAAATACAGGCATAACATTACCTTTAGGGAAAACAAAGACAGGTCATTTTCCAAAGCATGGATTTATAGGAAAATTATCAATGAAAATATAATTGAACCTATGCCAGATCACATAGCATAATACAAACACATTGCACTCTTTTCTGTGTACCATTCTCATCACTTTGCATATATTACTTAATTTTCTATACTTTCCACATTTGTGGAACAATTTTTAGTTTTGTTTGGGAGAGTTGTGTGCCTAACATCTAATCCATACAGAAAGCACCCTGGAGCCTTTGTACTATAGAAATGGCAGTCAGAAAACTAAGTTTAACCTCTGGGCATATCAAGTTCCTTGATAACACACATCTCTTTGAAAAAAATAAGACTTATATTGTTCAAAAGAGCAGATTTCCTTTAAATAAAACATTCATTCACTTGCTATGTGCCTGGTGCTATGTGAAATTCTGAAGGTAGATGAATCAATGAAGTTTCTGCCTCCCAAAACTTCCTGTGAGGGCCAGTTGGTTGCTCTCATCTTGACTGCAGTCACAGAGAATGACCCTGACTCTTAGATTCCTGATCTGCTTTCAAGACGGACAGCATTTTCTTAAACGCTTAACATGTACACTGCGTTTATGGACTTCCATGAACCTCTGGCTTCTATTTCTACTCACTAGACAACTCAGAGAATTGTGTTGAGAACTCTGAGCAAAAGAACTGGGTTTGAGGTAGCTTTAAGTTTCCCAGGAATAAATCTAAATATGAAAGAGTGATTCCTAAGAGGCTTTCTACCGAGGACTACAGGGATTGTCTTAAGATCTGAGCATAGATCCTGGACACAGTGGCTGGAGAAAGAGCTCACCAATTATATGGGCATTCCTGCACCTGCCATTCACCCTCTTCCTTATCACTCACTCACTCACTCACTGTAGCTCATGTAGAGACCTTGTACAGTGAGAGCTGGAATTGTGGATATTGTTTTATTGACCAAGAATGAGAAGTAAGTATGGTGACATATTTTATTAATAATTATTTGCACACACAGTGGAAATAAATAAAAGTGCATTTACTTTTATTATTACCTTTTAGCATAGTTGACTAAATCTTTTTATCCATATTTTAGTGATGAGCAAATGGAGTCTTCAGAAAGATAAATTGGGTTGTGTAATGAATGCCACAGGCATTGAAAGTGAGACCTGAACCCAGCTCTTGCATTTCTCAGGCCAGTGTACTTTCTAGTGCTTCAAAAGAGTATTAGAATCATCGCAGAGATCTTACAAGGAAATTTATAAATGTTTACAAAACCATTCATAGCACATTATCTTACTTACATCTCCTTCTAATGTAGAAATGTGTTACTACCCCAAATGTCAGGCTGAGGAAACTGAAGTTCTGAGGGGTTCTGTTTAAAAACTGTCATCTATTTAGTATCCCCTTACTGAAAGGGCACTGTTCTGAGGCACAGCATTTTGCTTATGAATCCCGCCATGTTTTCATCTTGTCACCCATTTATACACTGTGACTGTGCACGGGTTTTAGATGGAGTCTCAGATTCAGGCACAGAGGTACATCACACTGGATATTAGTTTACTATTGCTGCTGCAACAAATGTTCACAAAATTTATGGCTTAAAACAGCACACACAAAAAAGCAGTCCTGCAGGTCAGACATCTGAAACTAGTCTCATTGGACTAAAATCAAAATATCAGCAGAGCTGTGCTCCGTTTGGAGACTGCAGGGGATGTATCTATTTTCTTGCCTTTTCTTGCCTACATTCCTTCATCTGCAGCCACCTTTTGTCTTCAGAGCCAGAAATGGCCAGTCGAGTCCTTTTCATGCTGTGTCCCTCTGACACTGACTTTCTTGCCTCTCTGGTTTACTTATACGAGCCCTTGTAATTACATTAATTTTACCCAGGTAGTGCAGGATAATCTCCCCATTTCAATGTCAACTGATTAGCAACCTTAATTCCATCCACAAACTTAATTCCCTCTTGCCATGTCAAATAACATATTCACATGTTCTGGGGGTTGGGGCATGGGTATCTGTGGTGCAGGTGATATTATCCTCCCACCATATTCAGACAAATAACTGAAACCTTTTCCATAGCATAGCATAAGACTGTTTTATAGAGATATGGTGGGGGGAGCTTGTTCGATTGAACTTTCCTATCAGACACCACAACAAAGTTCATCCCTGGGCTGTGGAGTTGGTGCTGATAGTACTTGAGTCCCACCATAAATGACAAACTGAGTAGGATTTCTGACCCATATGCTGAGAGTTTTGTTTATGATTTTTATTATTTGTATGTTTATTTCATGATACACATCAAAATACTCTTTGACCAAAGTGAAGTGCAAAGCTGGACTCAACTGCACGTGTCCATGGAAACATGAACAAGGATTTTTTCCAAGATTGCAAACACTGTTCTCTTTTGGCAGCCTTCAATCTAGCCCTCTGGGGCTCAGAATACCATTTTGCCTGAGCTCTTGAGTGGCTACCACCATGGACGCTTCTTGTTCTACCAGATGGATAAAGCCAACACTCATGCCAACACATCCAAAAAATAGAGGCCACTATCTTTTTGCTCCACCTACATCTAGGAAGGAATCTAACTCAAATTGATAAGGGGTTTGGGGGTAGGCCCTGGGAAGGTTTTCTGGAAGAGGAACACTTCAACTTAGCCTTGCAAGATAATTAGAAAATAGCCAAGGAAAGGGAGAGAGGAAGTTTTCAAAGGAGAACAGGGCTTTGAAAAAGCACTGATGCCTGAGAGGGTTCTGTGGAAAAAGAGATCAACCTATATGTCTTCCTTAGTCTTTCTTGATACGAGGTCTTTCGCAAGCGGCCTTCTAGAGGAAATGCCCTTATACCTGTTGATGTCTAAGTCAAATAACAGGATAATAATATCTATTATTCAACGCCAAAGTCAGATGCCACCTGCACTGTCAAACTTTGGTAGGCAGAGTCCTCCCACCGGTGCCCTCTCACAGCAGTTGTTGCTGTCTGCTCAGACCACTGTCTGACTCATGTAGTGAGCTGTGTACAATGAGTCTCTCTCCTCTAGATCACGAACTACGGGGAGGCAGCAGCAGTCCTCCTACTGTCACATACTGACCTTCCCGAATCCATGCCTACACTCTCGCCTTCTCTCCCATTACAGAGGAAGACAAGCCTCTGTTCCTGTCTGAGGCAGCCTCTTTGCTTATACTCTGGATTCCACTTCTCATCTACTCAAGGACTTTGTTCTCAAAGCACTCCACCTCCCACCTTGCAGCATCCATTTCTCACTTTTCACACTTACTTGCATACAAAAATATCCAACAGCCTCTCTGACCCATGTGCCCCTCCACCTACAACTGGGCTTCTTGTTCTTTGTCACAGCACTCCAAAAATCATCTGTGCATGCTGTCTTCATTTCCTCACCTCATTTTTTTTTCAACCCACACATATCATATATGTAGCCTAAAAACTCCACTAAAGCTGTTCTGACAAGGTCAGTGGCAGCCTCCACATTACCAAATGGAAAGACCACAGCTTTGCTTTCTTCTTACTCTCAGTAAAATTTCACATCGTTAAGGTTTCTCTTCTTGGTAAAGGTTCTCTTGGCTGGAGTGGTTCCTAGTTTTCCTTCAACCTGACTAGCAGCTATTACTCAATTTTCTTTGCCAATTCTTCCTCGCTGTGGAACCTCTAAATGTTGCAAAAACTCACAACTCAATCCTGAGATCTCTTCTGTTTTCTGTTCCTGATGTTTATCTCACCCTGGTCCAGGGTTATTCAGTGTCAATGCCGTTAAGCCTCAACATTTATATCTACGGTAATGACTACTCCCCTTAGGGTATTTATCCAATAGTTTACCTGGATGTCTAATGGCATTTCAAATGGAACAAGCTTTGTTTTCTTACTAATAAGACTGTTCTTTTTTAAAGACTTCCAGTAACTTCCAAGCCAAAAGCCTAGCACCATTCGGAATTTCATTCTTGATCTCACCATTCACATCAATTCTGTCAACCAGCAATGGCAATCCACTTCCAAATGTTCTTCTAATCACTCCACTTCTTTTCATCTCCACCAGAACTATCCTAGGTCTAGCAACCAGAAACTTCTACCCAGACACTGACAATTTTCTCTGTATCTGCTTTCTTTCATTTCTTGTTCCTCTACAATCAGTTTTTATACAACAGTCAGAATAGACTTTTTATAAAATGGAAATCAAGGTCTGGCATTGTAGCTCACTTCTGTAATCCCAGCACTTTGGGAGGTCGAGGCAGGGGGATTACTTGAGGTCAGGAGTTCAAGACCAGCTTGGCCAACATGGCAAAACCCTGTCTCTACTAAAAATACCCAAATTAGCCGGGCATGGTGGCACACACCTGTAATCCCAACTCTTCAGGAGGCTGAGGGAGGAGAATCGCTTGAACCCAGGAGACAGAGGTTGCAGTGAGCCAAGATCATGCCACTGCACTCCAGCCTGGGTAACAAAGTGAGACTCCGTCTAAAAAGTAAAAGAAAATAGAAATCAAGTTATGTCACTGTCGTGCACCAAACTCTCCATTGGTTTCCCATTGCACTTATAATAAATATCTAATTCTTTATTATAATGTGGAAACCCTCTAAATCTAAGCTCTTCTCTCTCTACCTCTTCCAGCACACCTCACAAACTCTCTCTCTCTCTCTCTCTCTCTCACTTTCTTCCTTCTTCCACCCCCACTTGAACAACCTACCTCATTTTATCATCTCAAGCTGAATATCATGTCTTGGAAAGTTGTTCTCCCTGACCATCAAATCAAAAGATATTATGACGTCATAATAACTTTTTGTTCTTAGCATGTTTTAGCACTAATCACCTTACATTTCCTACCACTTGATTCGCTCTTTATGTAGTCTCTGCATTTTTCCCCTAGATTTTAAGCTTCATGCCTCTCTTGTTCACTACATATCTCCTGCAGGTAAATAATCAGTGCTCAATAAATGCTTATTAAATCAATGAATTAATACATTCATCTAGATAGACAAATAATAGGGACAATGGGATGCAGGAAGTCAAGAGCAGGGATGGCAAAGTCATGTGCCTCAGGAACTGCAGGGAATTTTTTTACCTGGAGTTTACACCAAATGTGTCCACAGGTCAGCTCAATTTAGGGCTGTTAGGTGGGTTTTAGACAATAGGTGGATATCTTTAGATAATTCCAGCAAAGAATGAACCACAGCAGCCCTCTTTCAATATCTGTACCCTATGCCCACTCCCACAAATTATTCAGCTTCAGCTCTGAGTGTAGTGCTGCAATTATACCTGTTACTAATTAAAAGACAAAATAAATGTGAAGTGCCACTGAAATACTGCACAGGAGTAAAGCAGCAATTATATTTATTGTATAATTTCCATTTGGCAATTACATTGATTGTACAATTGAACATACTGCATAATGGTGATAATTGCAATTGTTAGCGTTTTCTGCTGGGAAGAATCCTAAGAGGTAAACGGGTTGCACTGAGTTACTGACAATCAGAAGGGGGAGTCTGGCGTTTCCCCTTAATTCTTACACATATTGATCAGAGACATTTCCTTAGGAAGTACGGAAGTTTGAAAAACAGACCTTTCCTGTTTTGAGAAGGAAAATCAATTTGAACCATTCAGTATTTTGCATTGATGGGAGCAGATAAATGCAAAGGGAAATCAGAAAGAGAGAATGAAAGGAAAGTGTTCATGTATTAGAATCGAACTGGCAAGAACCCTCAACCGCAGGGCCAGAGGCAGCTAGGAAACAAATCCCAGGGCATAAGAAAATGGGCATTGGCTGAGGCCTGAGCACAAATCAATCCTTCTTAGTGGGTCACATTTGCATAAAAGAACTCAGAATGGCCACAACAAGGGACAAGAACAGTGTTTGGTAAGAAAGCATGCATGCTAAGCCATAAACACTTTGAGTTCTCCCTGTGCCCACTTACACAGAAGGAATACATGGTAGTTTTACAACATGGAATGAAGTTCCCTCTTGTAGAGTTACCTTTGTAAGTTACATCTTGGTGGTATACACACCTGAGACTGCATTTTGCTCTACATTATTAATGGCTCCTGCAAACTTGTTAAGAAAATAAGAAGATTGGAAGTCATCTAGTTTGTACATTTTATCATCATGTGAATTTGGAATGGGGATTGGGGTAGCTGTCAATGTAGAAATAAATGATGAACTCTGAAAGCCATGGCTGAACAGTGGGAAAGGAGATGAAGGAGAGACTAGGGTTGCATTTATACATAATTGGCCAAGGATTCTTAGACTTATCATGAAAGCACCACTGTTCATTTGAGAGTCATAGGCTTGCTTGAACTGCCTGAGCTGACATTATATCATTTTATCCTTTAAAAATTCTGTGACCTAGATAAAACTGAACTTTGCCCTATTTTATAGACTAAAAAAATTAAGGATTCAGCAGATGTTGTGCATTGTTACTCAAGTCAATTCAATCCTAAAGTAAATGTTGCTAAACTGTCCAACCTAGACAGAAGAAACCTTCTCCACCTCGGAGACAAATCCTGATTAATCTAACCACTCTAACAAGCTCATCCTGCTTTAACCAAGCAAAGCAATCTCACTATTCTTGGCAGTGACTGGGGGTGACATGTGACCCAGTTCTGAATAGTGCCACGTCAGGGAGATCCTGAGGTGGGGAGTTGTAGGAAGGAGATTCTCAGTCTTACGAAGCATACAACAGAAAAGACATATTCATTCCTGTCTCTACTAGAGTTATATCTGTGGGTAATGCCTGGGCCAACATGTGTGCATGAGGGGAAAAATGAGAAGAAAACAGATACGGAGGAATGCAGGAAATACAGTTGGGAGGAAACCTTAGATCTTAGATACTGTCCTTGAGTAACTGAATTAACCAGCCCTGGAGCTACTCTGCCTTGGCTGCGCTCTTGCTGAAGGCATTCTCAGGAGTTTCTTCCCTAGTTGGCAGCTGAAAGCTTCCTCACTGGCCCAGAGGCACAGAGGAGTAAACCAATTTGTTTGAGGTCACAGAGCCAGTGGGAAAGCTTGTCTGTGAACAGTGAAACCACTATCTCCCAATTTTTCATCTCTTCAGCTTTTGGATTAAATGAGTAAATGCTGTTCAGATACAAGTGGAAGGAAAAATCACATGTTTTTACAGTTATTTCTATAGCAATGTGGCAACTTTGAGAGATTAAGAAAATAGAATTGATATCAACTTTGCATATGTTAAAACACCATACATTTTATAAAATAATTAAGAGAAAGTACTTAAATTATCTATTTCAATTTAAAACAAAAGCCATAACTTTATTTGTTAAAATAAATTAATTCTTATTATGGGACTGTCCTAAATTTGAATTTTTTTTTTCCTGCTTAGAAAGTAATAAATTTTTTAATGGTATTATGAACATAATCATTAATATCACTTTGTGACAGGCAATGTGATAAGCTTTTTGAAGACATTCTAATGCAACCCTCTCAGCAACTTTAGAAAGTAGGCACTATTATTGTCCCCTTTTCACTATAAAAGTAATTGGGCAAAGGTGTTTTGTCAAAGACACATGGCCTGCAATGACCAAGTCAGGGCCTGTATTTGGAAGACCCCGTTCTGAACTGCATGCCATATTGCTTGCTCCTTTTGGAATCGTCTATATCTTGTTCAAAATTTCTCTGTTTTTTTTGTTTGTTTGTTTTTTTATTTTCAGGCGGGGTCTCGCTCTGTTGTCCAGGCTGGAGTTGAGTGATGCCATCTCAGCTCACTGCAACCTCCACCTCCCAGGTTCAAGTGATTCTACTACCTCAGCCTCCCAAGAAGCTGGGATTACAGGTGCTCGCCACCACATCTGGCTAATTTATTTATTTATTTATTTTTTATGGAGAAAAGTCTTGCTCTGTCACCCAGGCTGGAGTGCAGTGGTGCGATCTCGGCTCACTGCAACCTCCACCTCCCAGGTTCAAGCGATTCTCCTACCTAAGCCTCCCAAGTAGCTGGGATTACAAGAGCATGCCGCCACACCTGGCTAATTTTTTGTATTTTAGTAGAGACGGGGCTTTACCACGCTGGCCAGACTGGTCTCGAACTCCTAACCTCGTGATCTGCCCGCATTGGCCTCCCAAAGTGCTGGGATTACAGGTGTGAGCCATCACGCCCAGCCCAATTTTTTTATGTTTAGTAGAGACAAGGTTTCCTCATGTTGGCCAGGCTGGTTTGCACTCCTGGGCTCAAGCGATCTGC
Source organism: Homo sapiens (assembly GCF_000001405.40). Lineage (NCBI taxonomy): Eukaryota > Metazoa > Chordata > Mammalia > Primates > Hominidae > Homo > Homo sapiens. The sequence goes on along the minus strand of NC_000010.11, from coordinate 82,189,429 downwards.
CTGCCTTGGCCTCCCAAAGTGCTGGGATTACAGGTGTGAGTCACTGTGCCTGGCCTAAAATTTCTTAATATATATAACAACACACACATTTATTAAGGAAACTAGAAAAGAGACAAAATTTTGAAAAATCTTATGTTTAACTCTATTATTTTGGTAAAATCTCTGATTTATTTTCTCATAGAGTTATTCAAAACTATTCAGGCACAGAAAGACAAGCATGGCATATTCTCATTTGTTTGTGGGATTTAAAAATCAAAACAGAACTCAAGGACACAGAGAGTAAAAGGAGAGTTACCAGAGGCTGGGAAGGGAAGTGGGAGGCTACCTTTTATATTTATATAAAATTAAACCGTTTTCAAAAGTAGCCATTTCATTATGTGAATATCCAGTTTACTTAATTATTTCATGGCTTTTTAAAATTTTTAATTTTTGTTTTTAGTTTTTTTTGCCCTTCTCCATGTTCTTTAATTTTATTCTTGAGCTACAAAAAATCCAATTGCATTTTTCAGTTATTTTAAAATTTGCAATAAAGTAATTATTGACTATAGTCACCCTATTGTGCTATCAAATTGTAGCTCTTACTCATTCTATCTATTTGCTTTGGTACCCATTAACCACCCTCACCTCTCCCATAGCCTCCCGCTACCCTTCCCAGCCTCTGGTACACCACCTTCTATCTCATTGTAGTTTTAATGTGCACTTCTTTGATGATCAATGATGTTGAGCACCTTTTCATATAGGTGTTTGCCATTTGTAGGTCTTTTTTTGAGAGATGTTTATTCAAATCTTTTGCCCATTTTTTGACCAGATTATTAGATATTTTTTCCTATAGAGTTGTTTGAGCTCCTTATATATTCTGGTTATCGATTCCTTGTCAGATGAGTAGTTTGCAACTATTTTCTCCCGTTCTGTGGGTTATCTCTCCACTTTGTTGACTGTATCCTTTGCTATGCAGTAGCTTTTCAATTTGTGATCTCATTTGTCCATTTGCTTTGGTTGCTTATGCTGGGGTACTGCTCAAAAAATCTTTGCCTAGACCAATGTCCTAGATATTTTCCGCAATGCTTTCTTGTAGTACTTTCATAGTTTGAGGTCTTAGGTTTAACTTTTTAATCCATTTTGATTTGATGTTTGTATATGGTGATAGATAGGGGTCTAGTTTCCTTCTTCTGCATATATCCAATTTGCCCAGCACCACTTATTGAAGTGACTGTCTTTTCTACAGTGTATGTTCTTGGTACCTTTGTTAAAAATGAGTATACTGTAGGTGTGTGTATTTGTTTCTGGGCTCTCTATTCTGTTCCTTTGATGTCTGTGTCTTTTTGTATGCCAGTACCATGCTGTTTTGGTTACTAAACCTCTGTAGTATAATTTGAAGTCAGGAAATATGATTCCTTCAGTTTTGTTTTCCTTAGGATAGCTTTAGCTATTCTCTTTTGTGGTTCCATATACATTTTACGTTTTTTTTTTTCTATTTCTGTGAAGACTGTCATTGGTATTTTGATAGGGATTACACTGAATCTATAGAGTTCTTTGAGTATTTCAAAGGCTTGAACATAGTATTCTAGATGAGCTTCTTCTATGATGTCAGTCTTCAAAATAAATTCTGAAAATGTACATTCAGTAATGCCATCTAAGTAAAACATAGTCAATTATAGAATACGATCCTTTCAATATATACCAAAATTAAAACACTGGCCCAGCCACTCTTCACAATGGGCTTTGGCAGTGATCTGGTGAGCCTCAATGTTGACACTGTCAAATATGTAAGAAAATCAACAAAGGAGCAAACCAGGAAGCCTCTCTCAACCTCTTCCCCGCAAAAAAAATCACAGTATCTGGTTTGAAATGATGGTGACGAATCCTGGGTTTTATCCTTCTCACTCTAAATTAAATTTATACTCCCTCAAAGAACAAATAATGAAAACTTTTGCTTAGCAATAGTTTCAGGACATAAGTGATTAACAGCAAACTATGAATTTTGAAAATATCTTTGCATGTGTTTCTTCAAGAGATTTAAAATAACTGTTAAAAATCAATAGCTATCATAAACTGATAAGTAAACATAAATATCCAGAGGCAACGATGCCTTAATGGCATATAAGAAGCGAATTAAAACTACCTCCTCTCAAGAAGGCAACAAATCAAAGCTTTAGGAATGTTAAGCCATACTTTTGTTAGTGTTGCCATCTCTGTTGGCGGCCTCAGTAATATTCTAGTCCACATGTGTCATATTACTCCATCACATACATTCTAAGGAATGCTTATCATCTTGGCTTAAAAAAAGACATTCTGAATATTTTATTTTATTCATTAATTTATATTTTGCATTAAACTAAATATATGAAAATAAACTCAATTACAAGTATCTACCAAAAAGTCTCCTCCAGTTTTTGGGTGATGGCCTAGATTGGGCTCTATTCTAGTGGAAAGTAAGATCAGGTAAGATAGCTTTGATGCCAGGAAGTAAGGATAAAACAGGGCTTGGCAAAGTGATGATCATTTTCCCTGCATATGCTCCTAAGTGGGATTCCCTGTGTTACAGCTGGCAGTACCATGTGGAGAGAAACAAGTCTTACCAGACCAGAGTCCAGTATCTCAAAGCCTCAGAATCTTCTACGAAAGGGATTTGAATGTCCAGAAAGTCTATAATGTATACAGATACATAAGGTGTAAATTCCATCGGTGTGTAAGCCCATAGATGTTTGTCTAAATATGGATCAATCTCGTGATTTTTGATTAAGTAATCAATTCAACATTAACATTGACCACAACCAAATATTTGCTTGTCACCTATCTGCATTTAAAGGTCCTCATCTGTACAATGAGGGGTTGGGATTTAATTGCCATTAAGGTCCACTTTGTTTGCATTCCAGCTGCAATATACAGTAATGTGTGCCCACATACCCTGCAAATTTGTCAGGCTCAGGTTAAAATTCTGAGGCATTAGTGGAAGTGGACCTCAGTGGTCACAGCCGGAGTAACCTGTCAGTGACCAGGATGGAGCCTGTAAGGGCAGCTTGCTCATGGCTGCTGAGTTCCCATGGGAAGGGGCTTTCCTAGGTGATTCTAGGCACTGAGTATGAGCAAAGGAAAAGTTCACTGTCTCTCACTTCAGCGAGGATAGCAAAGATGCTTCTCTTATGATTTCCCCTGGATTCCTCTTTACTGGTGAAGATTTAAGTTGGTATGTGGAGATGTGTGGAAAAAAGGAATAAGATATTATCTGCTTTTTAAAATAATTCTCTGTGAGTTATAATCTCTTTGGAGTTCTGAATGCTTCTGTAAAAAAAAATCTTGTTTTTAAGCAATGAATTTTTGAATCAGTTATTCACTAAAACAATTCCTAACAATTTCATGCCCACACAGACACTTAGACATGAAATGATAAGCTTTCTGCTGATATTGATTAACTAGAATCAGAACTAGAGATATGCACAATAGTTGATATATCTGTGAGGAAACGTACCTATTCAAATAATATTTTTAAAAAGATGCATGATGCCAGTTATGGACTAGGTGATAATAGTGGGTGATATACTACACGAAACTCTTTAGATTGAATGATAAACCTAACTCGAACTTGTTTCATTAATTTTTTAGAATAAAACCAATGATGAGATGTAAAGATGTGATAATGCAGTCCTGGAGCATTTCTGAAGTAATGTGGAAAGACTCTTGAGTCAACAGTAATGTTCAGTAATGAGACAACCAGCTTGTCCACCCTAGGTTTCTGCTTCTGCATTAAACTGGATGAAAAAGATACATTCCAATAATTTCTTCTCCAGTGCAGGCAAGTGAAGTATCATGCATGTGTGTATGAATAGATGTTTATTGTTATATGTTTCTACTCTAATAAGCTGCAGTATGCAAGTAGTAAAATAATCCATTTTATTTTGAAAAACTGATGTCAATTTGGAATTGTTTTCACTATCAACAAAAGCATTACTACCCTCTGGGGAGATTAAATAGACATTGATGATCTGTACACAAAATAAGCTTTAATTTGACCCCAGAATAAAGCTCAGAGATGGAAAAACAAGAAGAAAGACCTGGCTAAGTTAAATACCAGGGAGATAGCAAAACTACTTACTTAATGCCCAAACAACAGTGTTACTTAAAACAACAACTGGGCAGATAGTCTAGCATCTTACATTTTTCATTTGCAGCTTCCTAGCACATACATGTAGTAAATGCTCAGTAAGAGAATTTTTTTTCTTTTGTTTCCTTTCATTACTCACTCAAGAAATAGACTGAAAAAAAAGCTCAAAAGAGTCTTGGCCAGGACTGGTCCTGAGTCTGGATCTCCCAGGGCTAGCCTCTTGTTTTCTCTTCTTGCAAACTCTGTCTCCAGCCTCTTAAATAGTTATTTACTGATCTCTCCCAAACGGTCATAGGTAATAGACTCAAGATGTAGTTGCCTTTTACTTGCACTGTGTAAAGCTCTCAAAGGTGCCCTGTCAATTAATTAGCAGCTTAATTGGAATGAAATTATGTAATTAAGCATCTCATTTCAAATTAGATATAAATGTTTACCGGCTCACAGGGATGAGACTTTCAAGGGGCCTTCATCCAGACCTTGTTGATTTTGACAGTAAGTCAATGTCTGTCTTCCTTTTCTTTTTCAAGTTAAAAATGCAGGATTTTAATAAAGCCCAAAGATAAGTCCCATAAACCAGTAAGATATCAGCTTACTTACATTTTGTAGAAGCTAATGACCTCTTCCAAAGTAACACATTCTTCGTTTGGGCAAGAATATTTATTATATCCCCGAGGAATTAATTGTCTCCAGAAAGTGAATGGCAAATTCATTGTAAGTCATGGGTTTGCAAAATATAACAAGAAATGTGTTTCTTTTACATATAGAAAGTATTATTATACATAAATAAAAATTTCAAGTTGTTCTATGATAAAAGGCCTCTGACTTCTTTGAGCATGCCTTCAAAAGCTTTAAAGCATTTCTCTATCAGGGCAGATATTGCCAGTGTTTCCCCAGAAACCATTCCCTGAATTTCCCTTTTAAATGGACTCCTTCCTCCATGTCAAGGTCTTAGCCTCACCATTTGGACAAGTTCTTACCAATGGAATGTAAGTAGATGGAAGGATGTGTACAACTTCCACGTTATTTTCTTGAGTCCATTTATTGTTCTCAACTAAGCAGCTGATTTGTACTAAGCAGCCAGCAGTTTTATCAGACATTGATTTTATACTATCGGTGCAAATGTCAAGACAGTGAAAAGTGTAAATAATATCTTAGCATTATTATAAAAATAGTTTTGACACCAGATATTTCCTATAAGGTTCTCTGCAGACCACACCTTGAAAACCACTGGTCTCAGCTTCTATAACAAATATACCCAAGAATACAGAAGGTCAAACAAGATAAAAGGATATTTGCTTACCTAATTGCTCATGTAATTCTATTCCTCTTGCAAAAAAGTAGATGTTATCCCAGTGAGGCAGGACTTACTCTGTAGACAAGGGCAACTCCTTGGGAAACAACACGACAACTAGAAAAGAAGGAACCTCAGCCCTTAGATGATCTTGCGGAGGAGATAACCATCTTCCTCACCTCAACTCCCATCTTTAAGCCAGAGTTTCTGTACCTCAACTTGTCATTTGAGGTTAGATAATTCTTTGTTCTGGGAGATTGTTTTGTATATTTAAGATGTTTAGTTGCATCCCTGGATGCCAGTAACTTCTCTCTCCCCAGTCATGGCAACCAAAAATGTCTCTAGACATTGCCAAATACCTCTGAGGGGCAAAATTTCCCCTAGTTGAGAACCACTGCATTAGACAATTACATGAGCAAATATTATTTTATTAAATATCTTGTTTGATCTTCTGTATTCTTGGGTATATTTGTTACAGCAGCTGAGACCAGCAGTTCTCAGTATGTGGTCCGCAGACAAAAATATAGAAGATATAGTTTAAAAAGCAAAACAAAGTTTGCACCTGAAGAATGCAATAACTGAACTGAAAAATTCACTAGAATGGTTCAACAGCTGACTTGACTAAGGAGATATATGAGTTAACGAACCCAAAGAAAGGTCATTTGAAATTATACAGTCAGAGGAGCAAAAAGGAAAAAAGAATGAAAAACAGAATGAAGAAAGCCCAAGTGACTTATGGAAAGTTATCAAGCTGGCCACTACATGAATTATGGGAGTCCCAGGGGAGAACAGAGAGAGGAAAGAGATAGAGAGAAAAGAAAAAAAAGTTTATTTAAAAAATTACTGGACAGAAACAACAAAAACATCACAAATCTGGAGAAGGAAAAATGCACTCAGATTCAAGAAGGCAAATGAATCCCCAATAAGATGAACCCAAGGAAGTCCACACTGACACATATAATCTAACTGTCAAAATTCAAAGACAAAGAGAATTTTGAAAGCAGCAAGCAGAAATCCAATCATTATGTAGAAGAAAACTCTCATAACACTATCAGTGGATTTCTCAGCAGAAACCTTGCAGTCAAAAATGAAGTTGGATGATATATTCATAGAGCTTAAAAAATGCCAAACAAGAATATTATACCTGGCAAAACTCTCCTTAAAAAATGAAGGTATGTACTTTCTCAGATGAACAAAACTGAGGGAGTTCCACTCCACTAGACCTGCCCTACAAAAAAATGCTAATGGAGTACTAAAAATTGAAACTGAAAGATGCTAAATGATAAACTGAAAACATATAAAATATAAAGTTCACTGGTAAAGATAAATATATTAAAAATATACAATACTATAATACTGTAAGCATGGTGCATAAATCAATTTTAATTCTGGTTTAGAAGTTGAAAGACAAAAGCATAAAAATAGCAATAACTATAAAAATATACTATTTGATACACAACATAAAAAGATGTAATTTGTGGTATCAGTAACATAAAGGGTAGAGGAGGACAGAGGTTAAAGTGAAGAGTTTTTGTATGTGATTGAAGTTAAGTTGTTATCAGCTTAAAATAGACTATTAAAGCTATAATATGATTATGTAAGCCCCATGGTAATGCTAAAGATAATATTTATAGAAGATAAATGAGAAAGAAAACAATGCATGTCACTATAAAAAATCAATGAAACATAAAGGAAGATATCAAAAGAGACAAAGAGGACCAGAAGCACTACAAAAACGAAAGAAAACAGTCAACAAAATGGCAAAAAGAAGTCCTTCCTTTTCAAGAACTCCTTTAATGTGAATGCATTAAACTCCTCAATCAGAAGACATAGAGTGGCAGAGTAGATTAAAAAGATACAATTATCTGCTGCCTACAAAAGACTATACAGATTTAAGGACAAATTTGTTGAAACTGAAAGTATGGAAAAAAAAACATGTTCCATTCAAAAAGAAAAAAAAATAGAGCAGGATGGCCATACTTATACCAGACAAAATACATTTTAAGTCAAAAACTGTCACAAGAGCAAGGATATTATATAATGATAAAAAGGTCAATTCACCAAGATGATATAACACTTATAAATACATATGTATACAATATCAGAGCATCTAAACATATGAAGCAAACATTGACAGAACTGAAGGGAGAAATACACAGCAACACAATAACAGTAGAACCTTTCAATACCCACTTTCAATAATGGCCAGAACATTCAGACAGAAGATCAATAAGGAAAGAGAACTTGCACAATATAAAACAAATGGGCCTTATAAACAAATATGGATCATTCCAGTCAGTAAAAGCAGAATAAACTTTCTTCTCAGGTATACACAGTACATTCTACAGGATAGATTACATGTTAGGTCACAAGACTTGTCCTAACAAATTTAAGAGGACTAACTTATCAAAAGTATGTTTTCTAACTACAGTGGAATGAAATTAGAAATAAATACCAAAATGAACCTAGAAAGTTCACTAATAGTTGAAAATTAAACAATACACTCTGGAACAACCACTGAATTAAAAAGTAATCAAATGGGAAATTAGAAATATCTTGAGACAAATGAAAATAAGTCACAGCATACCCAATTTTATGGCATGCAGCAAAAGCAGTAGTAAGAGAGAAGTATATTGCAATGAACACTGACATTAAAAAAGAAGAAAGATCTTAAAAAGGAGAAAGATCTCAAATAATCAACCTAATTCTACAACTTGATAAACTAGGAAAAGACCAAACTGGATCCAAAGCTACCAGAAAGGAGAAAATAATGAAGGTTAGAACAAAAATAAATAAAATAGAGAATAGAAACAATAAAAAACCAAAACTAATAGCTGTTTTCTGAAAAGATAGATAAACTTGATAAACATTTATCTAAACTAAGAAAAGAGAGAAAATAGTTAAATGAAGAGAATTAGAAATGAAAGAGGAGACATTGATGCCACAGAAATATAAAGGGTTATAATAAATTACTATGAGTAATTAAACACCAACAAATGGGATAAACTAAAAGAAACAGATAAATTCAGTCTACCAAGACTAAATTAGAAAGAAATGAAAAATCAGAACAGACCTATAACAAGTAAGGTGACTGAATCAGTTAAAACACCAAACATAACAAACAAAAACAACAACAAAAAACTATCCAACAAGGAAAAACTCAGGACCAATGGCTTCACTGGTAAATTCTACTAAACACTTAAAGAGGAATTAACAACAGTTCTTCTCAAATCTTCCAAATAATTGAGAAGTGGTTGAGGGGCCCCCTCCAAACTCATGTATAAGGCTAGCATTACCCTGAAGCCAAAGGCAGAAAAAGACACTGCAAGAAAAGGAATCTACAAGTCAATATTCCTGATGAATATGCATGTAAAAATCTCAACAAAATATTAACAAATCAAATTCAACAGCGCACTAAGAGGATTATATACTTTTTTACCAAGTGGAATTTATCCCTATGATGAAAGGATAGTTCAACAGACAAAAATTAATCAAGGTGATACACCACATTAACAGAATAAAGGATAAAAATCACATGATCATCTCAAGATATACAGAAAAAGAATTTGAAAAAATTTAATGTTCTGTCATAATAAAATCACTCAACAAACTAGGAATAGAAGGAAATTACCAAACATAATAAAGGCCATATCCAATAAGCTCACCACTAGCAACATATTCAACAGTTAAAACCTGAATGCTTTTCCCCTAAGGTCAGGAACGAGGCAAGGATGTCACTCATGCCACTTCTATTCAATATTGTACTGAAGTTCTAGTGTGAGCAATTTAACAAGAAAAAGAAATAAAATAATCAAAAATGAAAAGAAATAAAATAATCTCTACTCACAGATGACATGATCTTATATGAAGAAACTCCTAAGGATTTCACACACACACACACAAAAACCTGTCAGAACTAATAAATAAATTCAACAAAAGTTGTAGTATATAAAATCAACATGCAAAAATCAGTTGTGTTTATACACTAACAATGAACAATCTGAAAAGAAAATTAAAAAAATAATTACATTTACAATAGCATTAAAAATAATAAAACACTTAGGAATAAAGTTAAGCAAGGAGAAGAAAGACTTATATGCTGAAAACTACAAAATGTTACTGAAAGAAATTTTGAAAAACACAAATAAATGGAAATACATTCTACTTTTCTTGACTGGAAGACTTAATACTATATTATTAAAATGTCTATGGTATCAAAGCAATCTACAGATTCAATGCAGTCCTTTCCAAAACCCCAAGGCAATCTTTACAGAAATAAAAGAAAAGATTAATATGCAACCACAAAGGACCCCAAATAGTTAAAACACTCTTGAAAAAGAAGAGGAATGTCAGAGTCCTCATACTCTGTAATTTCAAAACATATTACAAAGCTACAGTAATAAAAAAATATGGTACTGGCATAAGACAAACATATAGTCAAGGGAACAGAGAACACAGCCCAGAAATAAACCAATGCATTTATCGTCAAATAATCATTGACAAGGATGCCAAGAACATAATGGAGAAAAGATAGCCTCTTAAACAAATGATGTTCAGAAAACTGGAAATCCATATGCAAAACAATGAAATGGAATCCATATATTGCAGCATATATAAAAAGCAACTCAAAATGTGGTAAAGACTTACATGTAAGACCTGAAACTGTAAAACTCCTAAAATAAACCACAAGGGAAAAGCTTCATGACATTATTCTTGGAAATGCATTTTTTGATATGACAGCGAAAGAATAGACAACAAAAGAAAAAATAGATAAGTGAGACTAAATCAAACTAAAAAGCTTCTGCACAGCAAAAGAAACAATTAACAGAGTGAAAAGGTAACCTACACAATAGGAGAAAATATTTCCAACCATATATCTGATAAAGGGTTAACACTTAAAATATAATTTTTAAAAAAACTCCTATAGTTCAGTAGCAAAAAAAGCTCCAATTATCTGATTTGAAATGAGCAAAGGGCCTGAATAAACATTTCTTCAAAGAAAACATACAAATGCCAATAGGTATATGAAAAGATTTTCAATATCATTGATCATCAGAAAAATGAAAATCAAAATTATAATGAGATATCACTTCATACCTGTTGGTATGGCCATTATATTTATTTACAAAGATAAAGAAAAACATAAAATAACAAGTGTTGACAAAAATGTGGAAAAACTGTAACCCCTGTGAACTGCTGGTTGGAATACCTAAAATGGTGCAGATGCTATGGAAAACACTATGAAGTCTTCTTTAAGAATTTAAAAATAGAACTATAATATGATTGAGCCATCCTACTTTTGGGTATTTATCTAACATAACTGAAATTAGGATCTCAAAGAGAGATATCTGCACTCCCATATTCATTGCAGCATTACTCACTATAACCAAGAGATATAAAAAACCTAAATGACCTTTGATAGGTAAACAGCATTTTGTAAATACATACAATAAAATACTATTTAGCCATAAAAAGAAGAAAATTCTGTCAAATGCTACAACATGGATGGATCTTCAGGATATTATGCTAAGTGAAATAAGTCAGTCACAGAAGGGCAAATACTGCTCGATTCCACTTATATAAAGTATCTAAAATAGTCAAACTCATAGAAGCAGAAAGTAGAATGATTTTTCCCAGGCCTGGGCAAAGGGCTAACCGAGCAGTTGCTTTTCAATAGATATAAAGTATTAGTCACATAAAATGAAAAACTTCTAGAGATCTGCTGTACCTCATCGTGCTTATAGTTAATACTGTCTTTTATACTTATAATTTTGTTAAAAGGGGAAATTTTATTTTATGCATTTTTAATCACAATGAAACATATGCATGTACATCATCCCTTTTTCTCATTTTTATGTGTGAGGGCGTTTTGGAAAATAATTTATTTTTCATTAGAATATTTATAATACATTGGTTTTATTTTTATTTTCTACATTAACCAATAAAATATTTTAAAAGTCTTCTCATATTAATTTTACTATCATTAATATTGATGGGTAAGACCCACATAAGCAAAAGCTCTTTGGGCTCTTCGATAATTTACATGGGCTGGGCACAGTGCCTCACACCTATAATCCCAGCACTTTTGGAGGCTGAGGCAGGAGGACTGCTTGAGGCCAGGAGTTTGAGATCAACCAGGGCAATATTTTTTCTTCTCCTTACTGGTTATAGGTCTGTTCCGATTTTTAATTTCTTTCTAATTTAGTCTTGGTAGACTGAATTAATCTTTCTTTTAGTTTATCCCATTTGTTCATGTTTAATAACAAGATTCTGTCTCTACAAAAAAATAGAAAATATTAGCTGGATGTGGTGGCGCACGCCTGTGGTCCCAGCTACCCGTGAGGCTGAGGTGGGAGGATCACATAGGCCCAAGAGGTAGAAGTGGCAGCGAGCTGTGATTTCTCCAGTGTACTCTAGCCTTCATGACAAAGAAAAACCATGTCAAAAAAAATTATTCTAAGAATCTAAACTTTCTAGGCTTGAAAGTTTTTAGTTCCACTGGTTTAGTTGGATTATGCTCTAAGTAATACGCACATAAAAAACTTCTTTTCAAATCTTGGTCTTTGTACTCAGTTATTATGTAAACATTAAACTTGAGTGTTAATGGATTTATCTAAAAAGTTTATCTACAAAGTAACCTTTTCTTTTAAAAATAATTAAAATATTGCATATATCATAGGTAACCTTTTCCTATGTTTATGATTAATTTCCTCAGATAATCACAAACCCTTTGTAGAAAGGATCAATAGATTTTTCTTTTAGTTTCTCCTTAGATTAAAAAACACACAATCAGGCCTAGATAGGTAGTTCATGAGAAAGAAAATATACAGTAAATGTAATAAAGGGAAACAATAAAAGTCTAAATTGAAAAATGATAGTAATATAAACATAGCAAACATTAAGTGACTGCTGCTATCTTCAAGGCACTAAGGTATCTTATTTAATCCTCTTCACAACCCGGAGAGGTAGATAATATTATCATTATTACGCAGGTAAGGAAAGGGTAGGCTACGATGTTGAGTAACTTGTCCTAATTGGCAAGCAGCAGACCTGAAATTTGGAGTCTTGGAGCTAGGGGTGGAACTGATGTTCTCTCTGACTCCAAAAACCCTCCGAGTGTGTGTGTGTGTTTGTGTGTGTGTGTGTGTGTGTGTGTCTTGTTTTAAAAATCGAGGCTTTGTGTTGTCAAATCCATGCATCTCCTGGGCTACTATGTCATTTGAGCTAAGGAAAACAAATCCAGGTCAGTAGCAGTGCCACCAGCTGTGAAACAGGTCAAGGAAAACAGCAATCATTGAGCCCAGGAAATTACCAGGGGGATCAGGGGATGCCATGTTGTTGTTCTCAGACAGAGATAAAAATAAATCAGCTTCTCCTGTAGAGTGCAGAAGGTACAGGCAACTCTACAGCATTCAACCCAAACCAAACACCGCTGGAGATGGGAGACAACCAAGGAGTTCAATCAGCTCAATCCAAGCATTCTCTCCCCTTCAGTGTGCTCTGTGACAGAGGGTAGCCTACGTGTTTGGGCATGGATAGAAACATATAGGGAGCAGCAAGCATGCATTTCTATCTCTCTCCTCTCTGCTGAGAGCAAAAAGAGGCATATAACAGGAGGAGGTCTCCAGGATTCCAGGATGTGATGTGCCAATCACTTCAGTCAGAAATTAGTATCACTGAAGAAGCACTTGGGTAGGGATGTGTATATGCTCCTGAGAAAGAGTTGGGAAAGAGGAGTTCTCTCCTAAAGACTAAGAACACCAGAAGTTATTTAAAGACAGCATTTTCATATAAGGTTACATTTCCCAAAGGATATCCTGCATGAGAATCTCATAAAATGGCTTCTAAAGCCAATAGATCTGGGAAGTACTGTGCAGTATAGACAAACTTGAAGATTCATATTAATGTATTAAAGACTTTGAGAACTACTACAAGAAGAAACTTGCTCCTGTTGTTTATTCCAGAGCTTCCTAAGTTGGATGCAAGGGTAATGTCTTATGAACACGTTTTCAATTCTGCTGACGGAAAGAGTATGATGGGCTAAAAGAAAAGTAAACAGACTAACCTGGTCAAATTCTTATTTTCTCTAGACCACAGATATCTCACTAGGAAAACAGGAACAATTGCAACTATATCATGGAGTTACTGTAGAAATCAAATGAAATGATATATATCAACTAGAGAATTTATATTAGGTAGGCAATAAATAGTATCCGTCTACCAAAGTATGTATTTTTTGGCATGAGCAACTTAGCCAATAATTCTATGCACAGATTACCTGACATCATACTGGGCAGACAATGATGGATAAGATATAGGATCTATTCTCTAAGGACTTACAGTCCAATTAGGGAGAAAGATATGTGAACAGCTAACCACATAATGAGTGCTATCTTACAAGTTTGTAGAACATGTTATGGAAATGTTTAATTTTCCCAGAGCAAATTGTGGATGCCTTCAGAACTGAGTCTTGAAAATCTAGCATAGTTTCCCAGGTAGAACAGTAAATGAAGCATTTGGATAAAGGGAAATTGGTAAACAATGATCACAGACATGATGTATTCAGCATTTAGAGGAAAGTATAGTCTGGATGCAAATGGAAGGGAAGGGATGGTTGAGCTGAGATGGTAGGTCAAGGTGATGCTGTAAAAGGCGCTGCTGCTAAAGGAGGTTGGACTTTATTTGAGGGCACTCTTGAGCCTTTAAAGTTTTTTTTCAATAAGAAAGACAAGATCAGGTTTGTCTTTCAGAATGATGATTCTGTTAGCATCAGAGAGGCTGATCACAGGAGGCAAAATTGCAAGCAAAGAAGCAGCTTGAAGCCAATCATCCCCTCTTGCCTGACCTCGTGTTGGTGAGGGGATGGCCCAGAGCAGCACTCAGAGAGGATGACAGAAAGTGATGGGTAGCAAGGCCATATAAGGGTAGGTCTTAATGTCCCTAATGTTGGGGAAGAAACAAAGGAAACAAGAAGGTAAAAATTAATGCCTGAGATTCTAACTTGGATGACTGGATGTATGGTAGGACAATTAACCATAATTTTTTTAAAAAAGAGAGGGAAAAATCAATTTAGAGTAAGATAATGGGAAAGGGTTGTACTGTTTCAGGAATTTGTAAATTGAAATTAATCCATGGGGCTTAAATAGGCTTCAATCATTAGAAAATGGGAAGTAGAGATCTGGAGTTTGGAATTCTAACTGGGATTGAGGATACAGCATTGGGAGTCAGAAGTTTAAGCAGCAGGAACTAGATGCCCCAGTATGAGGATGTGGAGTGCTCAAAATCATAACAGAGTGAGCCAGGGGTTGGAAAATGCCAAGGATAAGAAGAAAGTGGAGATCCTGTCTTCTGGAAGACTGTATTTCATTTGGGGAGAACTGATATATTGAAAAGGACTGAAAGAAAAATTAAGTACAGTACTAAGCTCTGTGCTACTTATAGCTACAAGAGGATACAGCCTACTAATTAAGGCTTGAAATATAAATGAATGAGATCTTGAATACAGGTGGGATTTCTAAACTTAAAACAAACAGAAGAAATAGGATGTAATTGTCAGAGCGAAGGGCCAGGCAACTATTCATATTAGCATTATTAAAGGAGGCTAGAATGAGGAAAGATTGGCTTAATGATGGGCAAAATTATGGAGATACGAAAAAAACATGTGCATAAAGAGGAAACAAGGAAAATTTAAGTGGCTGGAAAGAGGTAAGTATGAAGGGAGATAAAGGTAAAGGGATAGAGGATAAAAGATAAAGGAGAATGGTTAATTTCAACCTTGAAATTACTCAAGGTTGAAAAGAACAATTTGGAATTGATGTGTGTGCAATAATGGGACTACTAGTCTTTCAAAATTTTACATATAAAATGGACTCAATGAACTCTATGTTATTTTTTGGTTTTAGAAGCAGTTCTTCTACCCAGTAATGATGTACCACACATGGGTAATTTTGAATGACTTGGGGAGGGCTAGACGGACTCCAGGTAATTTCCGGTAGCCACTGTAATAGTCCAGATGATGCATGAGAACCTGAATTGTAGGAATTAAACCTAAAAACATAATTTGAAATGAATTACACTTCAAAGTAGACCAAATATAACGGACGAAGGAGGAGTCAATGAAGAGTCTTGAAGCAAATAAATTACTTTAAAGGTCTCAGTACAAAATGAAAACATAGCTAACCAGAGGTCAGGAGGCCGTGGCTACATGAATGAGTGAGGGTCTATGTTTCTGAGTCTCTAGCACACTTTGGAGCATGCCTTTTAGTTATGTGTACGTAAGTGTTGATCTTTGTGTTCTTGTCTGGCCTTGTCTCTGGGTCTCTCTTTTCATGCGTGTGTGTGTGTGTGTGTGTGTGTGTGTGTTCACATATGCATACATCTCTGTGTGTTTACATGAGGGTCTCTAGGTCTCTTGGCTCCTATGGACATTAGCCCTCATCTTGCTTGCTCACCTGTAATTGTCAATCCCAGCTGTGTCATTGTGTCATCTGGTCAATGTCCTTGTACCTGTGTGTGCATGTCTTTGCTATAAGATTGTGTTGCTATGTTTTAATAGGTGTGTATGCATGTGACAACTGCATTTTTGGCACTCATATGTATGGTCCAGGCTTCTATCTGTTTATATTTATATTTTACATCAGCATGTGTGCGTGTTTGTGTACGTGTGCCTACTTTCTAAGTCTTGACAGTAGTGTACCAGTTGGTGCCTTTCACAGCTAATGTAAAACTGTCAAACAGTCCTGAATGACAAATGGAAAAAAAAAAAACTTAATGTATCTGGCTACATTGGCCTTTTTACCTTTAACAGGAAATTGATCTTATCTTTTACAGCCTATTTCACTACATATCAATGTGCAGATGCAAATACTTCCATGCCACTAACATAAAGCCTGTATCAACCCAAAGCAATCCTTTGTAGAAACTGAATCTGAAATTATCCTCTTTGCTTTATAATGGTAGTGAAAACCAAGCAAAGCATTTTTTGAGCCATAAAATTTAATTTAACTCAAAAGTCACCCTAGCTTATGGATTTTCCTGCACAGACACTTTCATATTAGGAGCCTGTGGTGAAGACTCCCTGTTGATTTTTATACATTCTAAAAGTAATAGAGAGAGAGGTAATTTTACATTTTTTACTCAACTATTAGTAAAATAACTATGATGGGTTGCTTTTGTTGGGAATGATGTAAAAGAAGGGAGACAGGGAGGGCCCATCACAAGGCCAGTGTTAGGATGGGTCTTTACATTACATTATGGGTCAAGCGGGAAAGGCCCCGCAGACCTCTGTGTTTCAATCTTATAGGAAGTTAGAATGAGGAGACCATTAAATTTACATGCATAAAGGCATGACCCCAGGCATGGAGATAGAGATGCACACAGTGTGACAGGTTCTGTGGCTGATGAGATTGAAGGTGATCTCTGTTTTCATATATAATCAAGCTGAATCTCAGTGAATTTTAGCAGTAGCCCCAGGATCACCACTTGGGATCCTGAAGTCTTGAAGCTGAGATTTAAGCGTAGATTTCTTGTTCTATTCTCCAGTTTATGAAGCCACTTCCCAAAGGACATATGTTACAAACATTTCGCCAAACCATCTTCTTCATGTTTGGGGTTCATTGTCCACATTAAAAATAAATCAAAGACAAGCAGTAACCCACATATTCTTGGGTATAAATTTTAAAATGAAAACTGCTGTAATGTACCTGTCAGAAAACATTCACATTCTTAGCCTTTTAGACAACACGGTTGGCCACTTCAGTAGACTTGACTTTAAATTCTCTTTGTTTATTAGTTGTCCACTAATAGGATAAAAAGAGCAATGAGCGCAGGAATCATAGAAATCTGTTCACCAATTTTAATTCCAATGGAGTGCAGCAGGAAACAGTAAGCTTGAGTCTCACTTCCTCAATAGAAACCCCATGCAGGTGTTCAGAGCACACTTGGTATTTCCATCACTGGCTGCTACTGATGTGATACGGGGCATTTTCATCAACCCCAAACACAGAACAGATGTGTCACAGTGCAATAATTAGCCCAAATTCCATTTACCTTTATTCTGATGTAAATGAATCCTGGTATTTTAGCTGTGCACATTGCTGAGTGATAAAAATGTCATTCCTTATCACCTCTTACAACCAGGTGTGGCTACTAAGATCTTATAAGATATAGGAAGCAGTGTTGTCATGACACTTCTTAAGATTCTCTTAAAAGGAAGGGATATCCTTGTTCTTCCCTCTTTACCTTTCCTGCTACATGAAACGTGGATGCAGTGGCCAGAATATCAACAGTTATTTTGAATCATGAAGCAATTTTGGTTATGTAAGCAGCCAGGCATGAGAAACAAGAGCAAGTTTTTGAGTTCCTGGAACCATGAATTCTTGAATTGCCTACCTCTGAACTACTCCTACATGGAAGAAATATGTAGTTCTATTTTGCTTAAGCCACTAACTTGAACTGTAATACTCGCAGCTGAATTTAACCTGCTCTGATGAAGGAAACATCTTGCTTCCAGGTCCTTAGTGGCTGCAAGATAACTGCTTCCCCTTCCATCATACTCCCATTTATGACCTATATCATTCTATACAGCATCTATCAGAGAGCAACTAAGCCAAGAATTCTCTACACAGATTTTCTTTGGTGCTGGCAAAGTAGAAGCAGTGCTTTAAATCCTGGAAGGTGTGGCTCGGAGGACATGTTGGTGGGAAGTAAGGTAGGGCTGCTGGGCAAAGAGAGGAAAAACCTTGCTAGTAAGGAGTATACTTCATCTTTTAGTACATCACTGGGCCAGGCAACTAGGGGAGAAAGAATGATTGATTTGATGCGTCTCTACTTTCCACATTATTTTAATTTATGCAAAAATGGGACTTCTATTTTTGAAATACTTCATACCAAATACATTGATTGAATTGCACCAGGAGACTAAATGAGAATTAAACAAAAATGGGAGGAAAAGAAAATGAAAGAAAATAGAAAATAATGACACTAATAAAGCCAGAGTATCTATTATCATAATCAATATTAATGTCTTCAGCTCCTTCACATGAAGACAAATGATCTCAGACTGCATAAAACAATCTGACAACACCCATAAATCAAATTAACATAGAAATGTTAAAATTAAAGAGATTTTGGATTGAAACAATATTAACTTATAATATGACTTCTCCTACCTTCTGATTGGAATATCAATTGGGGGTGAGAAAAAGAAAAATATGGAAACTCACAATACTATCAAAACTGAAGGCTGGCAATCGAATGGCAATTTTGAAAAAGCTGACTCTATTTGTAATGATGGCCATTAACATTTAATGATGCTTATTATATACCTATATATATTTACATATATATATATATATATATATATATATATATATATATATATACCACAAGTTTTATAAACATCATCTCATTCAATTCTCACAATTATTCCCCATTTTAAAAATGAGAAAATTAAGCTTTAGTGAGACTTCGCCCAAGGTCAAACAACTAATAAATGAAAAAGCTGAGACTCAGAATCAGGTGTTGAATGGTGAACCATATGGATTTTCATGGAGAAAATAAATACCCAGGTTTGGACAAGACGCATATTAAGTTCAAGGGAATACAGAGGTACTGCCTGAAAAATGTTGGGCTATGATTTTAATATTACCTACTTACTGTTTATTGACTCAGAAGTCAAGTAACTACTAATCTGAAGACCCGGCCACATGCTTGCTCTCTCTGTCTTTTGGACAGTAGTACTCTGTGAGCTGAACATTATGTTAGACCTTTTCTCACCCATGCCATTTTTCTGCACAAGAGAAAAGGTGGTATATTTCAGAAACCCATAGGCCAGGAACAGATGGGACTCCATTAGAATGGTCTATTCTGTTGTGAAGTTATCTCTGGTAATGTGTTGAGTATAGAATTTGGATATAGAAAAGTGAACCAGAAACTAACATTTGTTAATGCACTACAGCAGTTCAGAGAATTAAAGAACAAAACAGTGGAGATAGAAAATATCTCATATCCATAGATCAGTGGTCTATCAAAAAAAAAAAAACACACATGAAAAACTTAAGTCTTGAAATCTTATCTGAGAAGCTAATTTGTTTACACACAAGTAGGCTAACAGTAGAACAAATATCAACCAAAATCCTACCTCATTTAAAGGTGAATAAAGAAAAAAATAAGAAATGTTGGAAAACAATATAAAGAAAAATCAATAGACTCAGAAAAAACAGAATAATAAAAATGATATACTGAAAGATCAGAAAAACTTAGAAGAAACTACACATAATCTTTAATAGAGAATAAAAATAAATGAATATTAAGAAAACAGGAAAAATATTACAGAGAGAGCAAGTAGAAATGCAAAACAAAATGAGTGAAATTATAAGAAAGATAGGTGAAATAAAGAAATATTTTAAGGAAGAGTACAAATCAAATTGTAGAATCAAAATTTACACTGGAAGTAGTATTAAGCAAAATTCATTTTACAGAGATGTAAGTAATATACCCTAAAACTCAAAGTATAATAAAAAAATAAAAAATTAAAAAAATTAAAACACAAGAACATTTTTAGAATTCAGAAGGGAAGTGAAAAACAAAAGATACAAAGTTACAAAAACTAATAATATATAAAGAAGGATGAGTATAGAATTCTGAAATATAGATAATTGTTCCTTAAGAAAATACCAGATCTTTAAAAAGTGGGAAAAAAAATGATTAAGATATCCTAAAAGATAGCCACTCTTGAAAAAGAGTATTTTTGTAAATTGAAAATTCTTAACATTCAAAACAAATGACTATACAAACCTAAGTACATCTAGCCAACATTTTAGAATTATAAGAATAAAAGAACTACACAGGTGTGCATAAAGATACCAATATGAAGCTGAAATAAAATTTTACACATATGCTCGTCGCTTTCTTCACATAATTGCTATGGAAAGATGTTTGCAGATATGTGAGTATTAAGATGGTAAGCTGAATACAGTACTGAGGTCAACTTCATCATGAAACTGCAATAAATCTCTAGTAAAGGAATTGTAGGAAGGCATGAATTAAAAAGAACAAAGGGTATAAGAATCAACAAAACACCTTTTGGATGCTAGAAAGCAGAGAATAATGTAACTGACTCAGCAGGCCAGAGAAAGGTGAACAGTTTATCTAGAAGTCAGAAAAATTGATGGAAACTCAATTTAGATTCTAAAAATTCCAAAATCTGAGAAAATGGCAGAAATGATACCTCTAAAATTGGGATGTAGAAAGCACAATTTTAAAAATGGAGAACTTCTGTGAATCTGGTTAAGAAACAAACAGAACTTTCTCTCACATTAGGCCACTCCACACTGCTGGGTTAATTACCTTGCACCACTATGGAAACAGATGGGAGGGTAATTCCCTGCAAAGGGTAAATCAGAAATCCCCAGGACTGAGGTATATCATTCACAGGTGAGGACTGCACATGTCAACCATGATCACTATTCTAGGTAGTCTGGTTGGATGAGGTTGTAACATTGTGAGAAAAGAAAAAGCTCAAAACTCGAGATTATGTATTGATACTTTCATTATTCTTTCCTCATCTATCTCTCCATATTTTGATGGGCAAGTGTATTTCACATCTGTAGAAGAGTGGAGGAATGTTTTCTTTCTCTGGGGACTCTGACCACTCCAAAGAATATGACCTGAAGATACTGATGTTGAGGGTTTCCTACTGGGATCTTCCAAGAGAGAAGCCAAATGGACAATTCCCAGCCACCTACCCACGGAGAGCCTTGGAATAGGTTTCAAGCACAGCATTTTTAATATAAGCAGACAGCCAAATGTTGACAAACATTTAGGGGAACGATCCTACATGAAAACAGGTACTACCATAGAAAGAAGACAAATGCAGCAATCTTAGGCTGCACAAAGAGAAAATATTCAAAGTCATATTCAGAGTTAAATTAATAGTCATTTTGTTTATTATTAAGAGAGTCATGTCTAAGGAGGAGGAATAATATTGACAAATATTCAATTTCCAAAACATAATTCTTAGTTTTCCAAGGGTTTTTTTTTCCTTTAAAAAATCTTAAGATGGGCTACTTTAGCAATATAAAAGAAGAAACTCTTCTGTACATCCCTCTCACGCTTTCCCCCTTCAAAAAAATGAAGAATCCCATTAATACAATTAATAGGTAAATAACAAACATAAAAGAAAACAAGTGTGAAATATATTTATGATAAACACACCATTCAATAATCTTTATGTATTTGGAGTTTTTAAAATGAGAAAAACAAAAACAATCACGTATTAAAAAGAAGGTGGTAAATATAAGCAAATATTTACAAAAGTACAACAAACGCTTATCACAAGTTTAAACAATGATAAACCCAAAAGAACTTATTCTGAAAACAAATAACTGTGGCTGAGCCCATGTGTGCTAGGAGATAATTATGAAATTGGGAGTTCTCTGAATTAACCTTCATATAAAAAATATAATAAGTAATAATAATGTGCTAATATGAAGCTTATACATATTTTATAAAATTTTACAGTAAACACAGCAATTATTATAAAATTCTCTACAGGGTGGAACACTCCCATCACCCTGCCCCTTTGGATGCCACTGCCACTAAGTCATATTCAGACTTAAGAATCATTTTGTTTACTATTGAGAGAGTCATATATAAGGAGAGGGAAATAATAAGTTCTAGACTGAATACTGCCTTAGTCCAGCCTACGAATCATAAAAACAGGAACTAACAGAATGAAACACTTACCAAGTAAATTAATTGCATGCCAGAATAAAACTAAAAATTTTATGAATAATAATAAAATCTCCCAACAAGTAAAATTTGCAATGTCTGACATTGAATAAAAAATTACTAGGCATGCAAAAAAAGCAGAAAAATAAGACCAATGAGGAAGAAAAAATTCAATCAGTTGAAATAGAAGCCACATTTGAAAAAATAATTTAAAAAGAATAAAACTATATAAAGGTGCATCATAATCAAATTTTTAAAAATCTGTGATAAAAAGAAAATCTTACAAACAGGCAGAGAGAAAAGATGCGTTACATACATAGGAACAAAGATAAGAAAGATGGCAGATTTCTTATCAAAATAATGCGAGCAAGAAGACAGTCAAGCACATCTTTAAAATACCAAGGAGGGAATAAAAAAAAACTACTGAGAAAAAAATACCTTTCAGTAATGAAGATAAATAAAGACTGTTTCAGACTTACAAAATTTGTATGAATTCGTCAGCAGCAGACCCACACTACTTGAAATGTTAAAGCAAGTCCTCCAGGCAGAAGGAAAATAATACCAGATGATTATATTGATCTAAACAAAAGAATGAAGAGCACCAGAAATGGTAACTAAATTAGTAAATATATATATTTTTCTATATATACATATATATGTGTGTATATATAGACATAATTATTTAAATATCCTTAAACAATTATTGATTGCTTAAACAAAAATAATAGCAATGCAATATAGTATTTATAATATGGGCAAAAGTGAAATATATGTAACAATACCACAAAGACCAGGAGAGGCAAAATGAAAAAACTTATTGTAAGGCAATTTTCCTACACATGAAGTATTATAATATCACAAATATAGATTTTAATAGTTAAAGAGATATATGAAAAATCCTAAAACAGCTACTAAAATACAAAGCAGAGATTTATAGCTAATAGGTCAACAAAGAACATAATATGGAATCATTAAAAAATTCAATCAGGCCGGACCTGGTGGCTCATGCCTGTAATCCCAGCACTTTGGGAGGCCAAGGCGGGCGGATCACCTGAGGTCAGGAGTTAGAGACCAGCCTCAACATGGAGAAACCCTATCTCTACTAAAAATACAAAATTAGCCGGGCGTGGTGGTGCATGCCTGTAATCCCAGCTACTGGGGAGGCTGAGGCAGGAGAATTGCTTGAACCTGGGAGGCGGAGGTTGTGGTGAGCTGAGATCGCGCTGTTGCACTCCAGTCTGGGCAACAAGAGTGAAACTCCATCACAAAAAAAATTAATAATAAATTAAAAATAAAAATAAAAAATTCAATTAATCTAAAAAAAGTAGAAAACAGGAAAAGAGAACAAAGAACAGATGGGACAAATAAAAAATGAATAGCAAGAAAACAAATGGGAAGATGATTTTAAAATGTTGACTAGATGTACTTAGCTTTACTCAGCTATTTATTTGAGTCTGTTGGAATATTGAGAATTTTTTCAATTCACAAAAAATAATTCTTAGATTTCCAAGGCTTATTTTCCTTTAGAATATTTTAAAAGTCTACTTTAGCAACATAAAATACTAAAGTCTCCTGTACATTCCTCTGTCACGCCCCCTCTCAAAAAAAAGAAACTCACAAATGCAATTAAGAAGTAAATAACAAATATGAAAGAAAACAAGTATGTAATATATTTATGATAAAAATTTAAATATTCTATATGTATTTAGAGTTTTTACAATGAGGAAAAAAATGATCACCTATTCAAAAGCAGGAAACAACTATGAGTGAATGTTTACAAAAGAACAAATGCCTAATGAAAAGTATGAAAAATATTAACATTTCCCTAATTTTACATATGTAAAATAAATAAGCTATTTTGCCTACAAAATTGACATTATTATAAATTGCACTATTCGGTTTTGCCAAAGCCAAGAGAAAATGTCACCTTTATGTAATCCTAATGAGACTGTAATCAGTCTGCAAATAAATAATTATTGAGCATCCATCATTAGGTGTCTGATATGGAATGCAAATCGTATTTTTATATAAAAATTCTTAAAATTTCTCCCAGTACTACTTCTCATTGAAAATTTGTTCTAGAAAAAAAACTGAATATTTGTCAAGATTTATTGAAAAGCTACCACATTTATAAATTAATAAAATATAACAGCATAAATGTCCAGTTGTAGAGAACTGATTAGCAAATGGTAGCATCCATACAATGGAATGCAATATAGTACTTATATAAAAATATACATGAAAATATTTTTTATGTCTATCTATACATAGATATATAAATGCACATACCATGTTTTAATAAATAAGTTATATAGGGCATAAACAGATATTAGAGTGCCAGTCTTTTCTAAAAATATTAAATCAAACCATGAAAAAGATTAGAAGGCTAAATACTATAATAACTCCTATAACTTCTCCTTTACTAGTTGATTTATATCTTGAATCCTAACTTCTCCCTTGAATTCCACACTACTATAACCAAGTTGAAAGTTCACATGTCCAAAACCAGAACTCTTATTTGCTTTCCTTCCCCAAACTAGCTCCCCACCTAGTTTTCCTAATATGAATAAGCAAAAATATCATTTTTCTTGACTGTTTTCTTTTCTTACCTCTCACTACCAACCTTCAGCCAAGTACTGCCATCTCTTGACTCCAAATCTCCCCCCTGCTACTTGCACTCTTGCTCTCTAAAATCCATTCTCCATACAGCAGCCAGAGTTATTCATGGAGGTAGAGAGTAAAATGATACATACCAGAGGCTGGGGAGGGTGTGTGTGTGTAAAGGGCAGTGGTTCGAGTGAGAGTGATAAAGAGGGGTTGGTTAATGAGTACAAATGTAGAGTTAGATGGAAGGAGTTCTAATGTTACATAGCAGAATAAGGTGACTAGAGTTAGCAACAATATATTGTACATTTGTAAATAGCAAGAAGAGAGGACTTGAAATCTTCCAACACACAGAAATGATAAATACTCCAGGTGATGAATATCCTAAATATCCTGAGTTGATCATTACACATTCTATGCATGTAACAAAATATGACATCTACTCCATAATTATGTACAAATATTATGTACCAATTAAAAAATTTTGCCAGGTGCTGTGGCTCACGCCTGTAATCCCAGCACATTGGGAGGCCTACACAGGTGGATCCCTGTTAGGAGTTCGAGACCAGCCTGGTCAACATGGTGAAACACCATCTCTAATAAAAATGCAAAAATTAGCCAGACATGGTGGTGCATGCCTGTAGTCTCAGCTACTCAGGAGGCCGAGGCAGGAGAATCACTTGAACCCAGGAGGTGGAGGTTGCAGTGAGACTAGATTGCACCACTCCACTCCAACCTGGGCAACAGAGCGAGACTCCATCTCAAAAAAAAAAAAAAAATTTTAAGAGAGAAACAAAAACCTATAGACCCTATCATATAGGTCCCTTGCTTGAAGCCCAATAATGGCATCTCACCACACTGAAAATAAAATCTGAATTCCTCACCATAGTACCAAAAGCATACATGAACTGTCTTCTCCTGCATTACTAACCTAAGATCAACCACGGCCTACCTTGTCCATGACTCTAAAGGTCCTAGCCTCAATCAGGACAACCATGTTCCTACCTGGAGGCATTGCCTAGATTGCTCCTCCTCAGCCTTCACAGAGATCTTTTCTAACCACTTCTAAACCAGAACTCTCTTGCCAGCCTTCACCTATCCTACATTGACATACCAGAGATTTCCCATCATTTATAGCTTCCTGAATTAATTTGTCTCATTCACCTACTGATGTAATGAATGACAGTGATGTCTAATCGAAAATCTAAGTCCTCAAGGACTATATTGCCTAAATATTTACAATATTGTAGTTGGTATCTGGTTGCTGATTTTTATCTCCTTCTTTGTGCTTCTCACCATTATCCAAATTTTATATGACTGATAAATATTTTAAAGACAGGAATGAAAAGTTCATATATGCACAAAACATAAAATAACAATGGCAGAGCTTAAGGTGCAAAGTAAAGAGAGGCATTTTCCTTGAGAACCTGATTAAGTCACTCCTTCAGTTGTGGGCACTTTTTGAAATAATCTTTTTGAGTGGAAGGTTAAAAAAGAAATTTCTTATATTAGAAGAGAGATTAATATGAAAGAGCTGTCGGTAAATTTGGAAGACTCCATAGGTTAATTAGACCTTCTGAAAAGAGGCCAATAAAAACCAGGGAGAGCAAAGTGGCCTCTTTTGCTGGCCTGAATGGTTTGGGTACTTTAAGCCACAAGCAGGAGAAAGCCAAGAGCACAGTAAGAATTTAACTGAAAATCAATAGTCCATAGCACAAACTCCATTCTCTGTCACCCTGCCAACTAGTTCCCAACAGGGCAATAGCATTTTAATAAAGTAGCTGTTAATTAGAGGAGGAGATTCACATGGTTTAGTTAACACTGTTTAGCTAAAGGACTAGACAGATTTGGAGAGCTTTATTAACTCAAATAACTGAGTCATGAAGGGAGGACTTTGGCTTATGTATAAAAGGGTTAAATTGATTCCACGTGCTAGAAAGAGCTCTGAGTTGCAATTCTCTTGAAAGCAACACATCCCATAGTTACATATCTCCGTTGCTGTCTTGGGTTGACTTACTGGTTTCTCTGCCAGTAATGATGATAGGCTGAGAAGCGGTGGAAGCTCACTCACTTGACACTTCAATGTATTCTCTTTGGGTTCAGTGAAAAAGGGCAGCCAATAACTTAGTGACTTCTCTTGCCCTTGTCTTTAGAAAGATTTACTCTGCCCAAAAAGGAGTGGGGAATAGAATGAGATGATGACAATGTTAAAAGTCAGTGGCTGACTTTTGCAAACAGAATAATATATTTGACACACAGAACAACTGACAAAATGATGGCAGAGCAAGGCACCTAGTACTGATGCAGTAGCCTGCCCTGTAATGTTCAACTGCCCAGCAATTAAATGTAAAAAGTAAAATAAAAAGGAAAGCTCAGTGATTTTGTGGAGTGATTTGACACTTTTATGTATAAATTTAAGCTCACAAGAATGGAGGTATTTTAGCCATTCACCTCTCCTTTAGCTATCAAGTTTGAGCTCCTGAACCCATCCTGGAAACTAGTGTTCACTTGAGCTAAATTTAAATTCGACAGATAATTGCAGAAGTTTTGAAGAATGAGAATTGATCCATGAAAACCAAATCTATTGTCCTATTCTCTCTTCAAGAACAGAATCTATTCTAGTGAAACAAAGTTTCATTTTCCATTGCATTCTGGAAGTTTCCCTTAATATATAAGCTTCCGGCAAGTCATTTGAGGGTTTGGGCACACTGATATTGAGAATGATCAAGAGTGATGGGCCACTTTGTTATATCAAGCCACTGAATATATTCATGCAATAATCAATACATTGCAGTATTTGAATCTAAGAAGCAATGGAGTGAATCTGCTTTCCCATGGCAGACACCTTGGCCAAGCTTAATTGCTTTGCTTAAACTTAGAGCAATCCAGGATCTCCATCTGTCAAATAGGGGTAATTGCAGTTGATATCTTTCTTTCCTAGAAGTATGTAGGGATCATTATTCAGATAGTATGGGTCAGGAAGCTAAGGATTCAGTGACAACAGCACCTGTTACTGAAAGGCAGTTGAAAAGAGAACAGGCTTTCAATGAGATAGACCAGGACTGGAAATCCAGCAACTCCATTTACTATCCAGTGAATGTATTAATATAAAATTCACTTATCCTTTCAGAGCCTGAGATTTCTTATCAGTAAAACTGGGGAAAAAATATCTACCTCGGCATGTCTATGTGAAGATTATAGCCAATGTATGCAAAGTGCTGGCCTACTAAAGGTACAAAAAAAGGGGAAGTGATTGCTTTATATATTTAATGGACCACTTGCCCCATAGTCGGTGCTTCTGTATTTAAAACAAGATTTCATGCTCCTTAAAGTTGGAACTCAGGACTTGTGTTATCATATCCACACAAATTCTGAGAACAGTGCACCCTGCAATAGCAGACCATTAACCAACCTCTAGTTATGAAACTAGTGATTGATAACTAAAGTCCCATAACTTCATGTACTTTCTCTATGCCGGTGACTCCAATTCTTCCAGCACTAACCACTTCCTGGGGCTCCAGGCTCAATGGCTTATTTGACATCCCCACCTGAATTCTTGATAATAATCTTTTAAAATTTCCCAAATAGAATTCTTAGTTTTTTAATACTTCCCTATACCTTGTTCTTTCCCAGTCTTCCTCTCTCAGGAAATAGCATGCCAATTCACTTTGTCTCAAGACAGAAAGACTTCACCAACGTCTAACCTCGCTAACAGTGTATTATAGTACACATTTTCCATACCCCCAGGGCTCCAGGTATTGTACATATTTTTAAAATTTTTCCAATATAATTTTATTCTAGTTTATATTTCCCATATTAACAGTGAGCTTCATTTTCTCATTGGCTGTTTATGAGCCTTGCTGTTCATTCATGTGCCAGTACTTAGATCACATGCTGAACTTGTTTCCCTACTACCACATTTACTGAGCAAGAACTAACTGAATGTTGGTCTTTATCCTTAAAATATTCTCTTCAATATTCAATGTTTTAGAGAAATCCTGCATTCAAAGTCAAATACTTTGCTATTCCCTGAGTTATTCAAATTGATAGGGTTCTTGTCTCTCTTACAGTCCTATTTCTTCTTCTTGCTTGGGTTAAAAGCAAACAGAGAACTATGCCTTAAAAATTCCATTGCACCACTGCACTCTAGCCTGGGCAACAGAGCAAGACTCTGTCTCAAAAACAAAACAAAACAAAACAAAAAAAAAGAAATTCCTTACAAAATCCATTATTATGATTCACTCTGTTTAGCGATGTTTTCATCTGTATAGCCATGACAAAGCATTCAGTATCCTATGACTTTTCCCAGGAACCTTCAGAATTTAAAATCTGTTTGCTGTTTATACTTTTGCATGATTTCCTGCTTAAAAAACTTTTGCCCCAAAACTGAGTTTACCTCTTCTGCCAAGCCATTAGCAGACTGGTGAAGAAGAGTGTTGCTAGGGGACAGGACTTCAGAATAAGTGCATTATCTTCTATCAGAAAACCACTGAAAATAAGATATTTAGATGATTCTATTGTGTTTAGGTAGGTAAAATGGATTGCTTTTTATTATTTTTTTGAAAAGGGCTAATTAAATTCACACTTGTCAACCATAGTGGTAATACAGAGCTTAAATTCTTACAGGCTATGTGAGCTCAGTAAATATCCACTAAAACAAACAAACAAACAATAAACAACTCTTATAGGATCCTTGAGGCTCAGCTCAAGATGTTTCTTTATTCATGAAGGCTTTCCACCACCTCTCAGTGAAAAGAAATTTGAATTTTTTGCTCCATTCATTCCAGGACTCTTTCCAGGTGAACATCTGACAGCATCCACACATAGCTTTATATTTAAGATAATTATGCATCTTTTCCTTTTCAAGTTCCTTTAGAAGAGTGACTTCTTCTTATTTGTATTTTTAACTCCCTCTGTATAGAACCCAGGACATTTACCTTCCTTGATTCTGCTGCATCTCACAAAGTCTATCTCAACAAAGTTGACTGAGCACCTACTATGTTCCAGGGATGAAGCCTGATGCTATGGGACTAAAAAACTAACGAAGGCATGGTTTCTATTTCTTAGATTCTCTCTACTTAATAAGAGAAGCAGAAAAATAAACATGCTTAAAATATTCTGTATAAAGAACTATGACTGGAGTGAACCCAGGGTACTATGAGAGAACAGAGGGCGTTAGCCACCCAGGTAACCCAAAGGAAGATGTTGGAGAAGGAAACTGATTCCGGAATGAAATCCTAAAGGATGAGTCCAATAGATGGAACAACAGAAAAGGAACATGACAGACAGGGAAAGCAACATTTTTAGAGACTTGAAAACCAGTAATATATTCAGGAAACTGCAAGCAGTTAGAGATATTTGGAGTGCTGAGAGAGTGAAGGAAGATAGTGTTGGAGTGGTCAGGAGGTTGGATGATGAATGGCTTTAAATGCCAGGCTAATTTCCTGAGTGCAATAGAGAACCATTGCATATGAAACTTAGTTACTTGCATATACATCATTGAACCTAGCTTCCAAAGCTATGCAATCAGCAATGTTACTTTCAGGTGATGCACCTAATCTGTAACTTGCAGCCTTCATGGAAGTTTAGATTAAATCAAATCATTATTTTCATAGTTGGTCTTCTATTTTAATTTTTTGTTTGTCTTAAAAGGAATTTGAAGCCTACTAAAAAAAATTGAAACCTATCTACAGCTAAAGACTATCATTTTCTTCTTGTTTCATGCTCTTCATGCAGAAGTTTGAGCATTTAAATAATATTCTTGTCATGTATTTTTCACACCTTCATCTGAATGGAAAGCTTGAGTGAGTAAACTAATCCCCATGAAAGATTTCATTTCCAGTGTGAAAATGATCAGGTTTAAGAAGGAAAAAAGGCTCTTATTTTAATCAAGGACAGTGGTTAAGAATCGTACAATTCCCATAAAAATAATATGCCACTTCTCTCAGGATTTCAAGAGTAAGCATTTGTGGCATTTTACTTACATGTGAAGAAAAAGTACATAAGCCCAAAGGAATGATCTCAAAACAGTGTAAGAGGAGAGTTTATTTGACAATAAATTTGCAAACTCCTCAACACAACTGGCATCAGCTATAGCCTTATTAAACCCAACAGTCAGATCATTCAGAGAGAAATATACATCCAATTTACCTGCGCAGACACACTTCCATGAAAAGACTTGAGATTTTAACATCATAAACACTTCTCTTAAAGGGCCTCCTATTTTAGACTTTCAAATACAACACATACGGAGACACAGACATAGACATACACACAGACATGCTCACAGGAGCACATACACCGTGAGACACCATAGACCAACAGACATGTTCACAGGAGACTAAAAAAGCCAAAATATTCAAACATTTAGATGACAATTAAATTTAGAGCCATTTTGGAGAAAATATTCACTTGTTTAACTGAAAATTATTTGTAACAATGAATAAATGACATGTTAATTCAGTTTCCTTCATAAAAGGACTTTGATGTTGACTAACATTTTATTCAATGTAGTCAACAACTTGGCCCCATTTTTCACTCATTTCTGCATATTTTCCTTATCAAGGTTCAGTTACCACTCTAGAAAAACAAAATATCCCCTTTCTATTAAATGGAGATCATGTTTTCTAAACTACCTTGATAGGAGTGTTTTTTGTAATAATCCTAAAGGAACACAAAGGTATGTGAGTGACCTAGACAATTTCACAGGGCTCCCGATGCTAATCACGTTCCTTGATGCTCACAGGAACATTCAGTATCATGCACATTACTTTCTCCTTTGCCTAAAACATCACTTGATAATGTTTGGGTTGTATTCTTAAAACACTTGAAACATACTACAAGCTGGAAGATCTATATTCCATCTTGTCTGTTTCCTAAAAGATAGACTCTTGATCAAATTTCCCACCTGGAAAGCAAATTTCTATGCCTCCTTCTCCCTTAACATTTTAACTTACAATAACACCACAAACATTCTGCCAATGGTATTCATGTCTGTCATTCTTCTGCCTATTCCCTGCCTCCCTTCTGTTTGGATTCTCCCCATGCTTCCCAGCTAATATTCCATTTCTCCCTTACAGACTTTCCTGACCTCCCTGAATTGACACTGTATAGGTATGTTGAATTGATCCTGCAATATTTTAAATGATTTCAGGATTAGTTTATGAATAGCTGTATTTTGCAAAATAGATGTCCATAGACACAAACCTCTAACCTGCTATCAGTTTGACCTTGACATAGGAGGAGATACTTATAAGAAAAATAAAATCTCAGGTAATGATTATCTTCTTTAACAAGACAGCAACCGATTCCTTTGGCTCATTTTATATTACAGATTGAATCCTTCTGGAATATGACTTGTAGCTATTAAATATCTTTTTATACTTTTCAATGACCATTTGGTTAAATGCAAAAGCAATATACTTTCTTTAAGCACAAGACAGCCATTAGTCAGCTCACTGTTGAGTTACATTTGGCCTTAAATTTTGACTTGCAATATTTACCATTATTACTGGATGATAAATTGCAATAAGAAAATATACTTCATTTCCCTGTAAACTCAGTCTATTTTAAATGGATTTAACAATGCTTAATAGTACATTCAAAGATACCCAAAGCCAATGTTCCCTGAAGCAAATCACAAGAATGTTGAACAACTTCATAATGACCATTTAATCCCCATCATTACTACAGACTGGGATTCCTGCCGATGCAATGACAATGTAGTTTAGAGAAAATTAAGCAATAAATTAAAAATTATAAGCTCCATTGTTGCCATGGGAACCCCATGTATGAACTCCTATGAAGTTTTAAATAGTTTCTTCTTATGGGATATTAATGACGATTGACACTTTCAACATAAACTTATTTGTATGGGAGCTTCATGCTGATAATCATACCTATATTATTAATAGCTATTAAAATGTAAAAAAACCTATAAAAGTAACAGGTACTGTAAAACAAGCTAACTTTATCTTAAACTCCATGGATCTTCCTTCAAAGCACTCTGGCAGGTAGACACCATTGGAGCTAAAATCTGATGAAGGATAAATTCCACAATTTTCCAATTCTGGAAATTCACTAGAAATTTCTTTTTTTTACAGACATCCTTGTGAAAATGTTTACCCATGTATATTTATGTTAATAAGACACTTCACAAAATACCATGGCACTAATAATAGGAGGTGATATTGACATTATGCTGGCTAACAGTTTCAGAGTACCTGTTCTTGCCAGGAACTTCATAAAGATGATCTCACAAAAGGCTCACAATACCTGAGAAGACAAATTTTAATCTATAGATTTTGGATGAGGAAGTTGAGGCCTGGGGGATCATGTTACATGGACATACCTTCCAGTTGTTAAGGAGCAAAGCTGAGACTGAAATTCAGGTATATCTCATTCCAAAGACAGACAGAACACAATGAGTGTTTGTGAAAAAAAAAATAAATGAAAATGTTATAATCAATCTATGTAAGTGTAGATTGATATACTTTTTGATATCGCTTTTGCTTTCTGAGAAATCAGAAAGTGAAATTTTGCCCTAAAATATGATGTATGTCCAATTTAATAAGGAGGACAATGTTAGCACAAGTACCCTAGTCACTGTTCTCTACAGCTTCACATAAAAATGGCCAAAACATATGAACAGAGGAACATCTCTGCCTCAACACTGAGCTATATCAGTTCCCCAACATTTCCTTATTTAAAATTATTTTTAAATTGAACAATTACAATTCAGAAAATAATCGATATGTTTTCTAGTGAGAAAGGTGCATATAAATGTAGACCAGGAAGCAGCTAAAGTTTAGAGGATTCTGCTACCTTTGTTTTCTGTACATGTCCATACTACCTGTTATGTATTGAGCTTTTATCATTTTTATAATCACATGAAATATAAATATTGAAAATTAAATGAATATGCTTACACATCTACTAAATAAAATAACATGGTCACCAGTCAATATTATTTTAATTAAATAAATGGCTGGATAATCTCACAGCCTTCTTCAGTCAGCAAAATACAGAATGCTGCTCTACTGAAGTCTCTTTGCTTTTGATTATATGTGCTTCACTCTACCATCATAAATATCAAATTAGCAGGTACATGTTGGCATTAAGCCATACCCTTTTTATTACGATATGTTTGTAATTAGCATTTTTACACAGCCATATGAGAACTAATGAAGCCTGGGGCCCAATGGATAGTGCTTATGGTGTTTCCTTATGTCTCTTTCATAATTACAGTAATCCATGTCACAGTAGAGAGAAGGTTACTGATATCCCATTAATACAATAACCACCTTCTCTAACAGCAGTATTAGTGATCTGCAATATATTATACTTATTTTTAAAAGGTAAATGAACAAAGGTAGGCATCCTGATTAAATCAACACTATCATGAGGACTGTCATTAATGTAATTTGACCTTTTCTGACCCTTAAGTTTCCATTTTGTAACTCTACATTGAAAGCAATTTAAAGAGCACAGGTGAAAACGTGCTCTGATTGGGAAACTAGCTAATGGCCATTAATCAGAAAACATTTATATCTGTGTGTTTTTATAAAATCGTTTTGTATCAGAGTCCTCCATGCTGTCTAACCTGTTTCACTAAATTTATCTTACAAAGTAGGTGAAAGATTAAAGAGCAGTCAATAAATTTATAGACAATAAAAAGCATTGAAATAAAAAAGAGAAGTGAAATTGTCTCCGTTTGCTGATGATCTTATATAGAAGAAACCCTAAAGTGTTCACCTAAAGTTGTTAGAATGGATAAAAGAATTCAATAAAGTTGTAGGTTACAAAATCAACATACAAAAATCAGTACATTTCCTATAACACTAACAATAAACTATACAAACAAGAAATTAAGAAAGCAATCCAATTTACAATAGTATTTCAAAAAGAAAACTTATGAATAAATTTAATTGAGGAAGTGAAAACCAAAAAAAATTGATAAAATAAATTAAAGGCAACATGTACAAACAGAAAGAAATCCCGTGCTTATGGATTAGAAGAATTAATATCATTTACATGTCCAAACTACCCAAAGCAATCTACAGATTCAATGCAATCTCTATCAAAATTCCAATGGCATTTTTCACAGAAATAGACAAAACAATTCTAAAATTTATATGAAACAAAAAAAAAACCCCAAATAGCCAAAGCAATCTTGAGCAAAAAAAGCAAAACAGCATTACACTCCTGATTTCAAAATATATTACAAAGCTATAATAGCACACACATCATGGTACTGGCATAAAAAGAGAAATATAATCCAATGGAACAGAACAGAGAGCCCTGAAATAAACCCACACATTTATAGTCAATTGATTTTTGACAAAGGTGCCAAGAATATACAATGGGGAAAGCACAGTCTCTTCAATAAATGGTGCTGACAAAACTGGATATCCATATGCAGAGGAATGAAATTGTACCCTTGTCTTATACCATACACAAAAATCAACTCAAAGTGAATTAAAGACTTAAATATAAGGCCTGAAATTTAAAATGACTAGAAGAAAATGTAGAGAAAAAGCTTCACAACATTGGTGTGGGCAACGATTTCTTGGATAGGACCCCAAAAGCATAGGCAACAAAAGCAAAAACAGACAAATGGGATTGCACCAAACTAAAAACTTTTTGCATAGCAAAGAAAACAATTAAGAACGAAGTGAGTGAAGAGACACCCTCCTGATTGGGAGAAAATATAGGCAAACCATACATCTGATAAGGGGCTAATATCCATCATATATAAGGAACTCAAACAACTGAATGTTAAAAAAAAGAAATAACCAAATCAAAAAGTGAATAAAGATCCTGAATAGATATTTATTAAAAGAAGACATACAAATGGCCAACAGATATATGAAAAAAAAGTTCACCATCTCTAATTGTCAGGGAAATACAAATTAAAACCAACATGAGATATTACCTCATACCTGTAGGATAGCTAATATCAAAAGTACGAAAGATAATAAGTGATGGCAAGGAGGCAGAGAAAAGGGAACCCTTGTACACTGTTGATAGAAATGTAAATTAGTGTAGCCACTATGGAAAACAGTGTAGTGGTTCCCCCGCCCCAAATTACACAGAATTATCATATGATCCAGCAATCCATCTACGGAGTATATGCCCAAAGGAATTAAAATAAGTAAGTCAAAGAGATACCTGCACTCATAATTCATTTCAGCATTATACACATTAGCCAAGGTATAAAAGCAATGTAATTGCCCACCAAATGATCAAAGGATAAAGAAAACACACACACACACACACACACACACACACAATGGAATACTATATAGCCTTACACAAAAAAGAAATTCTGTCATTTGTGACAACATGGATGAAACTGAAAGACATTATGTTAAGTAAAATAAACTAAGTACAGAGACAAATACTGTATGATTTCACTTACATGTAGAATCTAAAAAAGTCAAACTCATAGAAGCAGAGAGTACAGTGGTGTTTATCAGAGGTTGATAGGGAGAATGGGGAAAGGTGCAATGTTGACCAAAAGGTAAAAAGTTTCAGCTAAACAGTAGGAATAAGTTGTAACATAGCATGGTGACCATAGCTGATAAAAATATATTACATAGCTAAAATTGCTAAAAGAGTAGATTTTAAAAGTTCTCATCCCCAAAATAATTATAAGTAGATAAGGTGATAAATGTTAACTAAATTGGTTTAATCTTTCTACAATGTGTGTGTGCGCGTGTGTGTATCAAAGTATCACATTGTACCCCATTAATACATGCAATTATTATTTGTTAATTAAGTAATAAAAGAAAAAGGAGAAAGAAGAAAGAAAAGGAAGAAAAAGAAAGAAAAGAAAAAGAAAGAAAAGAAAGAAAGAAAGAAAAAGAGAAAGAGAAAGAAAAAGAGAGAGAGAGGGGAGGGTGGGGGAAGAAGAAGGAGAAGGAGAAGAAGGAAGGCAGGAAGGAAGCTGGCCAACCACAGCAATAGAGATTTCAAATATATGGCATTTTCCATATATGGCATTTTCTTGTTTTCACACTGTAAAATTGTGAGATGGGAATTATTATCTATTTGACAATGAGGGAGCTGAGGTCCAAATATAGTGAGTGGTACAAATCTGAGGTTCCGCAACTGGCAAAACTAGATCTTCAGTCCCAGTCTCTTGATATCACAGAGCTACGTCCCCGATAACACACATTTCAAAAAAAAAGAAATAGTTCAGAACTGAGAACACGAGCCCTGAACTCTGCCCCAGATCTGTCATCAATTTGCTGGGTGACTTTTGGCCAAACGTACTTAACTTCTCTGGTCCTCGAGATACAAAGGCTAAGCAAATTGTGTGCCAAACTATTTGTCAGATGTAGCATATGGATAGGTCAATTAAATTTCACATTAAATTAGTTAGCAACAAAGCAGATCCTAACTTACAGAGAAGCTGTTTCCAGTATGTCAAAACTATATTCTACAATAGGATCGCCAAACTGAGAGACATGAGCCAAATCTTATTTGCTGTCCCTTTTTGTAAATACGGTTTAACTGGAACAGACCCACACTCACTCATTTACATATGTCTGTGGCTGCTTTCACGGTACAATGGCAGAGTTAAGGAGTTAAGACAGAGACTTTGACTCACAAAGCCTAAAATATTTAGTTTCTTGCCTTTTACAGAAAAAGTTTGCCAACACCTGATTTCCAACTTAGCTGAGTATTCTCCCTGTCCCAGGCACTTATGCTAACGTATTTTATATTCTATCTATTTAATCCTCTTAATGACCTAAAAAAACATGTACTATTACAATTCCCCTTATACATATGTGAAAGAGTGAGGTCAATAGAAATTCACTTATTTGTTCAAACTCCCTCGACAAGTGAGTAAGGATTGGGATCCAAGTCTTCTGAGCAGAGCCTATGCTGAAGCACTACGCTACCATGCTTTTTTTATGGGACAGTGATCATCACAGGTCAATAAAGACCACACAGAACTCATTCAGGTGCTTTGGGGAAGTAAGACAATAAGGGAAAAAACAAGGCTCAGTTTGCCTTCTTCATTCATCAAGACCAGAGAGAATAAAGCTTTATTAGATAAAGACCACAAATAATTTAAATGCTACTTACAAATTACAGACGACTAAGTGAGATGGGACATCCAACAAGATGACATCAAGGCAGAAACAGGATGAATAATGGAGACAAGAGAAGGACAGACAGAGGAAACCAGAAAAGGAGCAGAGCAGAGAGGTTCCGATTCACAGAAAGAGTCCTGATCCTCATCTCCCATCTGATTCTTTTTCATCCTCGTGTGCTCTGCTAGGAAAATTTCTGTACATAATAAGATTTCAATGATTAGAAAACAGGCATCTTTTCTTTCATGTACTGAAAAATTAAAAGTAAAACAACATTTCCAATCATTCCACCTGAAGACCATCCCAAATTAATTCTTAGTCATGCATTATTTCAGTTCAAACTCCTAGTCACTCCTGTGTGCCTGGCCCTGACACTGGTACTGCAGAAGGCTGAGCAAGACCCAGTCTGTGTGAGTCCAGCTTCCTCACCTCTATCCTCAGCCGTTCCTCTGTTCCTTTATATCCCTCTCTGGCTTCGCCCCTTTGCTAAGCTGAGTTTCTGTATTTGCTTTCTGAGCACTTCCTGCTTTGGACCCTTAGCATACATTTTTGCCAGATTTTGCACAAGGAGATTGAAAATCCTATCCAGGCTTTCTGTACATGACTGCTTTGTCATTTTTCTTTTTTCCTAACAAGGCTCAAGTTTTGTCAAGATTTCCTTTTCTAAAATAGAACTACTTTACAGCACAAGTAGTTTTGTATTTTTCTTTTACCTATCCATATCATTATTTTGATGTAAACAATGTTTAAAAGGACACAGAAAATGTCCTAGGCTTAGAAAAAGTCTCGGTTGTGTGTAATCAAAGAGTAGCTCTAAAAGACTGGAAATTGTGACAGGCATAGTATTGGTCATCAGCAGAAGCAGATGAAAGACGGATATTTTACTGCTTGATGAAGTCACTGGAATGTCCAGGCGCCCTCTGCTCTGGAGTTTGTGGTGTCCGTTCTTGCAGTTTACAAGAGTCAACCTCTAGCAGCCCCTGGGCTTTGTTTGTTGGTTTGTTTATCTGTTTTAGACTGAGAGTTTTTTGCTTTGTTTTTGACTTTTTTTTTTTTTTTTTTTTTTTTGTGTGTGCTCTTTTTGCTTTGTTAATCAGCAAGGTTTTGAAAATCAGGAGATGTCAATTTAAACAAACAAACCAATGAAAAGTAGTCAAGACTGGAGGTGGGGATTGGGCGGAGTTGGCGGGGGGATGCTCTTCAGCAATGAGAGACTGTGCCAAGCTGGTGTAGCCACCAAAGGGGTGGGCTGGGTAGAAGCTGTCTCCTATCAGCTGGGCAGGAGCGCCCCCACCAGGTACACTGACATGTTTGCAACACCTGCCAGCTCCTGGGCACTTACCGGTCTTCAACACCTGCAAATGGGTGATATGTAAAATATGTGCAGAGAGCTGGCAGTGGCCTAGCCTCTGATCCATCAAATCAGACACCTTCTGAAGGGTCCCGGAGGCTCCTGGAGGTGGCTCCTGTTAATCCTTTAGTTGCTGGACAGTAGGGTGGTCCAGGGGTACCAGGGCTGGAATAGATTGATGGGAACAGCAGGGA
The DNA here is from genome assembly GCF_000001405.40 of Homo sapiens. Classification (NCBI taxonomy): domain Eukaryota; kingdom Metazoa; phylum Chordata; class Mammalia; order Primates; family Hominidae; genus Homo; species Homo sapiens. The sequence goes on along the minus strand of NC_000010.11, from coordinate 82,150,053 downwards.
GTCCAGATGGGTGCACTCCCCCCTGAAAATCAGCCCTGCCTATAAACCACAGCGGAGTTCCATCTCGTCGGGATTCCTGGCACAGCTGGCCCAGGGTGGAGATTTCCTCATTTAAGGACTGTAGTTAAAGGTCGGCTTATTCTATTCTATTCTAGTCTAGATCCACCCCAAGAAAACTGAATACAAGGTAAAATTAATGAGTGAGTCAGAACTGGGCTGTGGACAAGGGCTTTCTCATATCTGCACCAAGACAGTGTGTGAAACATGTCATAAAAACACTGTGGAAATATGCAGTCCATTTATTAGTCTGACATTCTACTGGGAGGCTTTAGAAAAAAAAAAAAAACAGAGCTTTCTAAATTCCCAGCATCCACTACAAGCCTGTTAATATCTTATTCAGAAAGTATTAGGCTCTGTTCCCATGCCACACATTTCTATGGAGGAACTTTATGAGAAAACAAAGACAAAAGTCTGGTTAGGTTTCAAAAATATTTGCTTCATTTTAATTGATTTTTCTACATCCAAGAAACGTGAAAAGCTCCGATTACAAGTACATAAAAACTGCTCACAGGCAATAAAACACATGAAAAAATGTCCAAAATCAACATCTGGAAATGTTGCAAAGCAATTAAATTTTAAATAATGGCAAAAACAAGAGTGAGGGCATCCTAGCTAATCAATTATATTAACTTTTTAATTCTTATTTATGGCATGACTTTGTCAATATAATCAGTTACTGGGTAGCTCCCTAATTAGGAATTTATAATGTATTAAGTGTTATTTTTATAACTGGATTCATGTAATAGAAACCCAAACAACTGGGGATAATAACTTGATAGTCTGCCACTTTCAGGTTCAAGCTGCATTTTAATTATATTTTAAGACCTCAAACTATCATTCATTGGGGTCAAATCTAGGCAACTGAATTATTTTTTATAATTCATATTTTATTAGGTAGGCTTGATGCTTAAAAAAAAAACAAAAACAAAAACAAAAACAAAAAAACAGGAATGTGAATTGTTTGGGTGAGGTCTGCATTCCTCAGTTGATTCCGGGTAGACAGTCTCTGCTGTCTTCCCTATCTGACTCATCTCACCCCCACCTGTGGTGGTTCACTCATTTATATTGCCAGTTTGGCTCCCTGAAATTCAGTGAGTGATAGGCAAGCAGGACAGGCAAGCAAGAAGTGTGGATGGTGAGATGGTGGAGAAGCTGAAGTCTAAAAAGGAAAGTCATAGAAATTGGGGTTGTTCAGCCAGGAGAAAAAAAGGCATCTTTGGGGATTGTAAGGGTTTCTTTGGATGAAGAGAAGACATTTCCTAGGTCAGTGATTCCCAAGGTGAGAATCAGTATCATCAATACGACCCAGGAACATGTTAAAAATGCAGTTTCAGGCCTCTCCCTAAACCCTGCCAAATCAGAGATTCCACAGCCAGCCCCAGGAATCTGTATTTTATACTCCAGGTGATTTTGATGCACACGTATGGAGAACCACTGTCCTAAATGCAAAGAAAACAACCTGGACAAATAGGTAGGAAAAAAAAATAAGACAAGATATTTAAGCTTACGGCAAAAAAGCCATTTGGTCCAAACCTTTAGAGATCAAAGATTAAATGGTAGGCAGAAAGTAAGTTCCTCACTCTGTGGTTGAGAGTATCAACCATGGGTTAGAAAGAACTAAAATATGAGTGATATTTTATTATTATTTGCTTGTTTGTTTTAGAAATGGGGTCTTGCTATGTTGCCCAGGCTGGTCTTGAACTCCTGGGCTCAAGCAGTCCTCCCACCTCGGCCTCCCAAAGTGCTGGGATTGCAAGTGTGAGCCACCCCCCCGCAATCAGTGATATTTTAAACTGGATTGACTCAAAGAAGTTTTTGATTAGAATGTTCAACAATTCTAGGAATCTAAGTTTTCAAAGTTTGACTTCTATCAGAGGAGAAAATTTGATCACAACACAGCACTGTATATGTCTTAGAACGGTTAGCCATAAAAGCTATAAGGAAATGAATAAAAATGAACACCCTGGAAAAATATCTGCCAGTGCTGCTCACAGCTTGTGAATTCCAAAGCCTCATGAAACTTCTTTTAAAACGCTTTTCCCATTCTTGAAATATCTTGTCGAAGAGCCCAGCAACAATCATTAATATAGGTAAAGCCTATTTGGGTAAAAGAGAGAGAAAACTGGGACTGTAACATTGAGTGATTCTGAAGGTTGAACTAATGAAGCCTGCAACCATCATCTTACAGAGTCATTTGGAAGGAATCAGAGCATTCACAGAAATAAATTAGTAAAGGCTCTAAGCAGAAGTTGAAAATTTTGCATATGCATGATTACTGATAAATACCATGAATTAAGAAGTGGTCATCCCTACTCAAAAGGTCTGGGGCGCTTTACAAAGGGACACACTGAGGCTGGCTAACGCAGGCACATTGGGCAGCTCAGGCTGGGCAGGGTCCTCCATGGCTCATAAGCTTTAATAAGAAGGAAGTAGAGATTGCCATCAGCATAATACTTTTGGTTTTAGTGTATATTCATGTTAAAAGTTAGCTGAGTTGTTATTCTCATTAAAATAATGGAAATGAGTATTCTCAACAAATCTATTTTTGTATTTTAAAGATGCTGAACTAAGGACAACCAGGTAAATAGACACCTATGGACATTTAGGTTCCCTTGTTTACCATTTGTTCAGAGGCATATCCAAACCTAAGCCAGATCCCAGGGATCACAGGGAAAATCAAATGTGAGATCAAATCCAAGCTGCACCACTTATAGCTGTGGTTCCAGACAAATCACAGATTCTGCATCTATAAAACAGGAACAATAATAATACCTATCTCACATGGTTGATGTGAGAAAATGAGAGAATGGTCAGTATCTAATAGATGTTAGTGATTTGTAAGTGACTCTTGGTATCTGCTTACTCCAATTTGACCCAATGGAAATAGTGATGACCCCCAACCTGCAAACTGGATCTGGTCAGTTCCTGAAGAACTCTGACAAAGTCTGGAAATTCCTCAGGAGATAGACAATCAGGCCTGGCATCCACCTGGGTGAAAATCCAGGTACTAGAACTCCCACCGAGCTGTAGCTGTTATTCTGTTCTTTCCTTTTATAGCTGGCTGGACCCAGACAGTCTACTCACTTTTGTCAGGTCCTGCTGCCAGACCTCACACTCCATCAGGGAAGCCTCCCCTCTCTTGGTCAACCCTCCCTGTACCACACCCCAGGGCTCTGTGATGGAGACAAAAAGAAATAGTTTTTGCAAGCAGCCCTGGGGCTACCCATCTGTCAGATCATAACAAGCTTAGGCCAGACAGGTAATGGGTTACTCTCCTTTCTCCACTTCCCACCTCCTTCCATACCCCAACGACCAAAATTAAAGTATCTACTGTATGTCTGCTTGCCTTAGAAAAGCATATGGTCAATATTATTATTGGACCACACTCTGCATCTCTCCACATCAGGGTGCACGCTGTTGGGGGAAGTAATATGGCAAATGACTTTTCCATAGAGCTTTAGGAAGAAAACATGCCTTTACGGTTTGTTACCCAGATTGTACACAAAGCCTAAATTTCAACAGTCCACACTTCTTGAATGACTGAGCCCTGAGAATCTCCTGTGTGATGCTCACTGGCTTGCTTACTAGAGACGATAAATCAGAATTCAGGAGCTGAGGCGAATAACACAGAGATCACTTGCAATATATTCCAAGGATAAAATCCCAGACAACCCAAACGACATTTGGAGTAAGACAAATACTAAAATATTGAAATGTGCAATTCTCTATAAACAATCTAAGTTTAGCTGTATTTCAGTAGGATCTGAAAATATGCAGGCTCTATTCTCTTTTACAATCTCTGTCCCAACATTCTCTTTGATAGAAACAAAAGCAGGCTTTAAATATTTGCATTGGATGGTTAATACTGAAAAAAGTACTTTTTCTGAATCAGATGCTGTCATAAACAGCTTGATACATGCCTTATGTCAAGATGTGAGGTGTTTAACTCACTCACAAAATATTTTCTGTCAGCCACTCCCAGCAAATATGATTTTATCACAATGTTCACCTCAACAACTAGGCATCAGCTAGTCATATGCAAGTTCTGTATGGTTCACTGACCTTCTAGGCAACCTAATTCTTTACCCTGGTTACTACCTACTTATCTATTGCAATGGCCTGTGGAGAGCGATGACCACTAATGAATATGGGAAAAAAAAAACTGCCTCTGGATATATAACCAGAAAAGCAATGTTTTGGGATTGTTGCAAGTTTGCCATAGATATCTTCATTTTAACCACACAATACTTACTATCCAACGTGAACAGTACTGAACATGCCAAATTATTTCAGCTACAGTTGGTTATTGTACCAGAGCAGTATTAACGAAGCAATTAACACACAGCGTACATCAACAATTGATTTCTTTCAAGATGAAAGCAAACTGACCATCAAAGAAAAAAGTTCCCATGTGATAAGAGATTAACATATCAATAAGAAAATCACTGGTGGTTTTAATATGATGTTGAGGCCATCACACAAATACCTATGTCTCCTTGTCAGGTACATTATACATTTGCTTTCCATAAAAATCATGTGAGAACACATGAGCTTTGATATTCCCATTTTACAGCCAAGTATGTTGAAGATTCTTGGGCTCAAAGCAAAAGTCAAATATGTTATAACTAAATGCTGGGACTTACTGCTAGTTGATCTTTACCAACTTGGACATCAAATAGTAGGGTAATTATTTGAATTTTCACACATTTATGAAAGAAAATAGGGTCTTCCATTTACAGTCAGCAGAAATGGCATTTCATTTTAGCAATTCCTTGTTGACTGAGCTCTGGGGAAATACACCATACCGAGTTCTAGTGCATGCACACAGCCAGCCATACCAAAGAGAAAGGCTTAGCTATGGCAATGGGTTATGACACCAGTGCCCACCACTGTGCAAGCAATGCAAACAATGCAGACAGCTGCATCCCCTTTAAAGAGATACATGTATATCCCTTCAGGAGCTATTGGGTGGCTGCCCCATGTGTACAGGGAAGCAGTTTTAAAAGAAAAAGTGGGATGGGAAAGATGGAAATGTTATTTTCATAAAAGAAACAAAGGGCAATTCTCAAAAGACAACAAGGAGAATGAGACTAGCATTTATCATAAGCCAGCTTTGTCTTAGAGCATTACAACTGATCTTCAGTTCATTCCTTCCAACAAACCATTAGATGCTTCAGTATCCCCTTTTTATACAGGAGGAAACAGAAGTTCAGGAGTAGCTGTTTTGCTTGAAGTCACACAGATTGTTGGTGGTGGAATGAAGAGTCACACAATGAATCCCAAGTCAAAGTTTGTTTTCCAATTCCCTGCTACAAAACATTGTGCATCTGTTGGGGAAGGCTGAGCACTGATCTCCCAGATCTCTTTTCACATAAACACTGACAGAGTTGACTTGTTTCTCTGGAATTTTATTACACGTCTTCTTTTTAGTCTTTAGCCCATGAGACTACTCTCTTTTAACTAAAGGTTACCCAAGAATAGCTGCTAATTGCCACAAATATTGAGGACATTCTTCACCAAAGGGGAGGCCATGAATGGAAGATGGCCAGGTGTCCTGGGTGGTGTTGCCTATGATAATACACAGGTCAGGACTCCTGGGACGTGCGAGCACAAGAGAGAGCAGGAGCAGGTGTTTTCCTGTCCCAAGGGACCAATTCCTATTAGAGCTGCTTCAAAGATCACTTAATATAAGATAGATGTGGTCCCAGGGAGAAACATGATGTGGAACAGATGAATGCTTGTTTCACATACCTTAAATCAACCACATAGTAGTTGACAAGATAATTAAATAGAAGCCTCACGTGAATAAGAGCACAGAAGTCATAAGAGTCAAATTTTATGAAGCCAGAGAATATTAAATAGTAAAGGGAGAAAGCAGTGAATATTTACTGAATACCAAGAATGCTTCCAAGTAAATGCCCTTTCTTTTTTTTCTTTTTTTTTTCTTTTCTTTTTTTTTTTTTTAAGACAAAGTCTCACTCTGATGCCCAGGCTGGAATGCAGTAGCACAATCACAGCTCACTGCAGCCTTGACCTCCCAGGCTCCAGCGATTCTCCTACCTCAGACTCTTGAGTAACTGGGACTACGGGTGTGCACCACCATGCCCTGCTAATTTTTGTACTTTTTATAGAAACAGGATTTTGCCATGTTGCCCAGGCCAATCTCGAATTCTTGGGCTGAAACAATCTGCCTGCCTGAGACTCTCAAAGTGCTGGGATAACAGGCGTAAGCCACTGCGCCCAGCCACATATCCACACATGCTCACTCATTTAACACTTATAAGGTAAACATAATTTATCACATTTATACAGACAATAAACTAAGGGTGGTAAATGAAGGCCCCAGGACTACCTAACTCCAGATTCTATATCTTGCTTCTAAATCACATTGATTTCAATGGGCAAGAGATGATCAACTGCTAATATAAACTGATGCAACTGTTTAGAACAAATGTAACAGTAGAATCAACTTTTAAACAAGAAATACAGGCAAACCTAGTCCACAATCTTTCAATACAGGCACCCCCTTGCTTAACTATACCAACCACTGAACTGAACTGCACAGTATGTAATTGCAGTAACTGTCTGAAAAGCAGCACACCTAATCATGCTCAATAAGGCTAATAGTTTTGGCCTGACTTGAGGCATTCAAAACATGCACATTAGTGGTATACTGAATTCTGAGTGACTGCCCTGTGTCATCTTATTATCCTCAACTTATGTGCATTTAGTCTCCGCCCCCTGCCTCCTGAACTCCTTGCCCTAGGCTTTGATGCCAGAAACTGTCCTTGGCCTTTCAATCTGTGCCATCATTTCAGCATCAGTCTGCATTCTTGAACTGGAACCTAGCACTAAGTTCATATCATTCATCACTTTTCTGTTTGGGGAGCCTCTTGGTCTTTGTGTTATTAAAAAAGAAAATCTTGGCTGGGCACAGTGGCTCAGGTCTGTAATCCCAGCACTTTCAGAGGCCAAGGCAGGAGGATCGCTTGAGCCCAGGAGTTCCAGATCAGCCTGGGAAATATAGTGAGACTCTGTCTCTACCAGAAACCAAAAAAAAAAAAAAAAAAACTTAGCCAGGTGTGGTGGCACACACCCATAGTCTCAGCTACTTGGGAGGCTGAGGTGGGAGAAGGTTGAGGCTGCAGTGAGCCATGATTGCACCACTGCATTCCAGCCTGGAGATAGATAGAGTCTTGCTCTGTCTCAAAAAAAAAAAAAAAAAAAGAGCGAGAGAGAGAGAGAGGACTCTCACATCTTATTGCTGACTCTAGAACCTCTTATACTAGGACATCCCCCAGCTCTTCCATGAGAGATACATTACGTTGTCATAAAATTTTCTATCGTAACTGTCTTCTTCCTTACAGTTTATAATGCTTTGCTATGTTTCCTGAAGTCAGCTGAGCTCAGCATAATACATGCCCAATGAGACCCTGCTTCTCGATACCCCACTCTAAGCTTAGAAACGTGTAAACTGATAAGTGAAAAGGAAACAGCAACCAGAAGCACGTGTTCCCACTGTTCCTACTGAACACCCAGCCCTTATCCCCTCTCTGGGTTTCACAACCACATTTTGACCCCAGGATCCCTCAGGACTACTTCTGCCTCCCTTGGGAGGCCAGATACTGTCCAGGTTGACTATTTGCTATTTCAACCACTCCTTCTTGCTGTTTGTTTGTTGGTTTGTTTTCCCACAGAGTGTCAGATGTTAGAGAACAGGTTGAGTACTGCTACATCTCAAAGCATCAATTAATGCAATAGTCATCAGCATTTGCAACTGCTCCATTCCAGGAATACAAAGCTTTGGTATAAATAGGTTAATCCTGCAGTCAAAATCTTTTGTGTATTCCTCAACAAGATGTTCTTGGATGAATTAGTAAGAGCTACCAGGAAAGCTTGAAAAAATGAATATTTGTTGGCCTCAATCTGTAACAATTGATTCAGAGTGTGTATTCATGGGGTCTGACAGGGTGCTTTTAAAATATGCTCTTGAAGCTTTTTATAAAGCATCATAAAATGTGAGAACCTTTGGCTGGGTGACTAAATGCAAATAAAGCAGCAGCAATTGGAAAACTTCACGTAGTATGCACCTCTGGAAGAGGAGGTAAAGGACAGGTGAAATGCGTTAGTATAGCAATAGCACCCACTGTACTGGCAACTTAGGAGTTCACACATACTGAACAGTAGCACATCTTAAGAATGTAAATGCTTATCAAAAAAGTTACTTACCTAATTCTACTTTATTTTAGCAGTAGTTATTTGCAATAAAATTGACTAGAAAGATTCAGCATTTTATGATGGTTTGGCAGAATAATACAACTTTTTAAAACCTAGAATCACTGTGATTTTTTTTTTATTTTAAGAGAAATGCAGGGTGCTGATACTACAATGCTGCTTCACAGAAGTGAAAAGTTCTATAATAGTCCATCAATTCACCATCACTGAATCAAAAAGTAAGCCTGGGCCTTGTGCTGTGAGGTTCCAAGGGGAAAGACATGATCAGCAGGTTTTTGCCAAGTAATGCTTTCTTTCTGTAAAACTCAAGTCCATAGGCAGCAGGTACATAAGGGCCAGAATCTCTAGCACTTTGGCTGACTTTCAGTCTGCAGGTCTGGGGGATGAAAGAGCCTCTTCAACCCAGCAGGGAAGGTCGACCCTAATGCCTGCCAAGTGTTTAGGTCCAGTGAGTTATCTAAAAAGCACATTTGCAAAAGGAAAAATTTTGAGAAATTACTTTCCTGAATCATCAAAATAATGGAGAGTAGGTATGTGAATTATAAACACAGATTGGATTATGTACACACATAACCCTATGATAGAAATACAGTAATGTCTACCTATATGAAGCTCAATCCTTTTTCATGCTAGTAAATACCACTTTTCGGGAAGATTGTTTTCTCTCCTTTCTTGTAAAAGAAGAAACATCCTTCAACTGGTTCCCCATATGTACTCACCATACCTATACATGTATATACACACACATAAACATATATATGAATATATGTATGTGCATATATACATATATATGAATTTAAGAAATTGTAGAATTTATTTGCATTCATGTACACCCAAAGAAAATCAAGCTAGGTAAGGCTAACACTATCCAGTGTTTCATATTTTTAGTTTGTTTTAAAATCGCCCTAAGAGACATTAGCAGCACAAAATGATGCCCATTTGATGGAAGTGTGAAACTTCGTGCCAAGACACAGATTAACATTGTTTTATTTCTTTCTCTTTTCTTTTACTTTTTATTTTTATTTTTTTGAGACGGGGTCTCCTTCCGTTGCCCAGGCTGGAGTGAAATAGTAATCAGAGTTCACTGCAGTCTTCAACTCCTGGGCTCAAGCGATCATCTAGCCTTACCCTCCTAAGTACCTGGGACTAAAGATGTGAGTCACTGCACCCAGCCAGCATTGACTTATTTCTGTTGAGATTAGAAGAAGTCATAAATTATTCAGGTCTTAATTTTTGGAAACTCATTTAATAAATGAATTAAATAAAATGCCATTGCCAAACAAAATTGCGGCAGTGACTTTAAAGACAATTTGTTTAAATATCAGCCAATTGATAGTGTAAAGAGCAAACTATTTCTGATACTTTGTTTCATGCATGCAATTATTGATCAAGAAGCCACTGTTAAACAAATGGATCCTCTGCCCTGGAGTTGTTTAGAGACTTTTCTAGAGCTGAGAAAAATAGAAAATGATTGTAAAACCAGATGAAAAGTGAGAATTTCTAGAGATCTGACACAAGAGGGAAATCCGTAAAATAATAAGTGAATGAAGGAGTGCAAAGAGTCGACTAGGAAGTTGAATTTTCATAGAAAAAATAGAGCATTGACTATTAACAGTTAAAATATACACTAACAATACTCATTAATTCTACCACAAATACTGCTGATGTCTTAGCCTGATGAACATTTTTTTTGTTAGTTTATCCAAAAATACTGACCTATTCCTCAAAGCTTGCTGTTTTGATTCAGGTACTGGGTCATATTTGGATAACAACTGAAAACCTTATTAAAACACAAAAATGGCAGCTAAAATCTGGCTCAATATAGAAAATATTCAGAGACTAACAAATCTGGTGATTCATCTAAATACAAATATATGAAATATTGTTCTGATAGTTGTACACTGCCTTAATGTTAGCTTAACCTTCAGATATGAAGGGTTTTAAAGTAACAATGAATCAAGCTTATAAGTCATTTTTTGCTTTTCTGTAGAGCAGTGCTTTCCCATTACCTGATGGAGATAATTTTCCAGGGAAAAAAGTGTACACCTTGATAGTGCTGTACTATTCACTTTTGCTTAGAGTTAGTTGCTTCTAGAATGTTATTAGCATATTTATTCTCTCCTTAAAGACTTCAACAGTAATGTAAGTGTCACAATATTGAGAAAGCTTGATGCTTCCAAAAGAAAAAAATTAACAATAATGTAGTTTTCAGATTGGACAATGAGGACTTAACGGGCTACTTGTATCTAGTCAGTTCAGTACAATTAAAGCAACAAACACTACCACAGTCTTAGCATTCTAATACCACCAGTTACATCAAGTATAAGGAAATTAGAATCTTTCACGTGGTATAATGGCATTAAGCACAAATATACTGAAGCATGATGGTGTCATTTATAAAGTTAACTGCCTTACATTTTCCATGTTGGCTCAGTAAATTAATGACTTTGGCACAACTTAAATAGAAATTAATAACCAGAAACAAAAAGGCACTGCTGAAACTGCAGTTATGTGTGGAATAACCATTTTGCTCAATGAGAAATCATATTTCAGGAGCTTGCTTGTTAGAGGCTGTATATGCAACCTAGTGCCATTGCTTTCCAAGCAGAAAACACCCAGACTTGCCAGAAAAGTAAATGTCCATTTCACCTTGGATTATCATGATACAGAGTTCATTTTTATTTACAAACATACTTCATGTGATGGTTAAGGTTGAGTGTCAACTTGATTGGATTGAAAGATGCAAAGTATTGTTCCTGGATATGTCTTTGAGGGTGTTGCCAAAGGAGATTAACATTTGAGTCAGTGGACAGAGGGAGACAGACCCTCCCTCAAGCTGGGTGAGCACAATCTAATCAGCTGCCCACAAGGCTAGAATAAAGCAAGCAGGAGAAGATGGAAGAGCAGACTTGCTGAGTCTTCTGGTCTTCATCTGTCTCCCAAGCTGGATGCTTCCTGCCCTTGAACATTAGACTCCAAGTCCTTCAGCTTTGGGACTCTTGAACTTACACCAGTGGTTTCCCAGGGGCTCTTGGGCCACAGACTGAAGACTGCACTGTAGGCTTCCTTACTTTTGAGGTTTTGGTACTCGCGCTGATTCACCACTGAATTCCTTGCTCCTCGACTTGCAGATGGCCTATCGTGGGACTTTACCTTGTGATCATGTGAGTCAATTCTCCTTAATAAACTCCCTTTCATATATACATGTATCCTATTAGTTCTGTCCCTCTAGAGAACCTGACTAATACACTTCATATGTATAATATCCCACTGTCAGTAGTATCACTCTATAAAGAGGATGATTAGAAGCCAAGAAGATAGTACCAAATGGTCTTGCTTGCTTTAATCAGAAGAGGTGTCTCTTTCTATGTGGGCCAATATAGTAAGCCAACTTGGAAATTAGGTATTTAAGTTAGCTAATAATTATTTCTTTCATATTAAATGTATCCTACCTTTGGGCATTTTGTACTTTTCTAAAGACATATTTTTCCCCCAGGAAAAATGTTTTCAAATAAGTCTGGTGCAGAGGGCTGGGGACAAGAAGAAGGGATAAGTAAAAGAGCAAGACAAAACACACACACACATATACACATTTTTTTCAACTAAACACAGATGTATTTGAATTAAGGAAAATCATAGATAAACAGGATTTGTTTCTCACAACTTAGAAAACTGTATATCTTCAGCTATAGAGGGCAATGAAAATTGAACTTTGAGAAACAAAAAGCAGAAAACTGATTACTCTCTTTGTTTAACTTCTTTATGTATTGTCAAGTGATGAGAAAATACCAGTAGCCTGAATGTCAAACTTCGGACTTACCCAAGTTAAGGACAAGGATCATTCTGAGTTACATGAAAAAAGCACTAAGGGCATGTTAGCATTCAGTTTTAGAGTGAAATAGATTCTGGGGTATTTAACTTAAATCCCCTGGATTATAAACCCTTAACATTCTGTCTGTAGTATATGACTCTGCCTGTGTCTACAGTGCTCAGCAGAGCCTCAGGCACAGAGTGGATGCATAACAAATTCTTGCTGCTCCAATCTTTTAATACTAAAGCCTGGGTTATGTTTTTTGGCCCAGTGATTCTGAGACAGGACATAAATTCTGATATTTCAATTTCACTAAATGCCGTTTTCTTGAATCAATTAGTTCTATGGATCAATAATCTGATCTGTTTACGAATGTGTCTAAATAACTGATCAGATAGGCTACCAAACAGTAATTTCTGCCTCAAGCTGTGGAACTTTACCAATTCCTACATGAACCTATTTATTTTTTCATGATGGGGTGGCTTAAATATAGGAAATGTGCTAGCTGGAGCTGTGTTTCCATTTATGTTTAAGATCAGTTAAAATAATAGTATTGTGGGAGGAAGATAACATCACCTGCATTTAGTTAATATTCTGGCACTTCGGCTTAGCATGAATTTAAATATTACATTTTTATCGTCTCACAACATAAAGGCTCAGAGCAGAGAGTTGGTTCTAAAAGCGCAATCCTGACTGAGAATCTCAAGTGTCTTTTCTGCTATTTCCTTTCTTCTACACCTCTTACTTACTGATGTGTAACAAGCTCACGAGTATTGGTATTCAAAATCTACAGAGGAGCTTAGGGAGGGGGAACAAGATGACCAAATAGAACCCTCCAACATTTGTTTCCCCCACACGAACATCAAATTGAACAACTATCCACACAAGAAAGCACCTCCAGAAAAAACAAAATCAGGTGAGTAATCACAGTACCTTGTTTTGACATCATATTAATGAAAGAGGTACTGAAGAGGGTAGGAAAGACAGTCTTGAAGCCTACGTTACCCCTCTCTCATCTCCCAGCAGCAGCCACGTGGTATGAAGAATCTATGTGTTTGAAAGAGTACAGTGATTGTGAGACTTCGCATTAGAACTTGATGCTGTCTGTCAGAGTGGAAAGCAACATGGCAGAATTCAGCCTGAACCCACGGAGGGAGCATTTATACCAGCCCTAGCCAGAGGGGAGTCATCCATCCCAGTGGTGAGAACCCAAGTTCTGCTGAATAAAGAGCCCTTGGGTCCTGAATAAACATCAGAGATAGCTAGGCAGTACTTGCCATGGGACTTGGGTGAGACCCGCATACAGTACTGGCTTCTGGTGTAACCCAGAACATTGATAACTATGGTGGACACAGGGAGAGACTCCTACTTGAGGAAAGAGAGGAGTAGAAAAAACATTGTATTGTGGCTTTGCTACCAGCTCAACTGCAGTAAAATGGAGCATCAAGTAGATTCCTAATGTTTCTGACTCCAGGCCATGGCTTGTGCATGGCATTTCTGGACTCTCCCTGGGCTGAAGGGAGCTCACATCAATAAAGAGAAGGACACACGCCTGGCTGGATTTCCACATGCTGAATGAAGAGCCCTTGGGCCTTGAATGAACATAGGTGGGAGCCAGGCAATGGTTGCTGTGGGCCTTGAGAGAGACCCAGTGCTATGCTGGCTCTAAGTCTGAACCAGAGCAGTTCCAATGGTGGTAGCACCTCCCTCAGCTGAAGGCAGCTCAGCACAGAGGAGAATGACCTCATTTGTTTGAGGGAAAGTAAGAGAAGAAAACAGGAATCTCTGCCTGGTAATCCAGAGAATTCTCTCAGGTTTTACCCAAGACCACCAAGGCACTACCTCTGTGAATCTGCAAGTCAGTGTTACTGGGCTTGGTGTGTCCCCTAATGCTGATAAGGTTGCAGTGACAAAAAAACTTAGATCACAGCACTCTATTCCATTTGAATACATGAAAAGCCTTTCCTAGAAGAATGGGTACAAAGAAGCCTAGGCTGCAAAGACTACAAAAAATACCCAACTCTTCAATGCCTAGACATTGACGAATATCCTCAAGCATCAAGACCATTCAGGAAAGATGACCTCACAAAACAAACCAAATAAGGCACCAGTGGCCAATCCCAGAGTGACAGAGATATGTGACATTTCAGACAGAGAATTCAAAATTGCTGTTTTAAGGAAGCTTGACAAAATTCAAGAAAATACAAAGAAGAAATTCAGAATCCTATCAGATAAATTTAACGAAAAGATTGAAATCATTTTTAAAAATCAAGAAGAAATTCTAAGGCTGAAAAATTCAACTGACATATTCAAGAATGCATCAGACTCTCTCAAAAGCAGAATAGGGCAAGCAGATGACAGAATTAGTGAGCCTGAAGACAGGCTATTACAAAATACAAGGTCAGAGAAAACAAAAGCAAAAAGAATGAAGCACATCTACCAAATCTAGAAAATAGTCTCAAAGGGGCATATCCAAGAGTTATTTGCCTTAAAAAGGAAGTAGAGAGAGAAATGGGGTAGAAAGTTTATTTAAAGGGATAATAACAGAGAGCTTTCAAAATCTAGAGAAAGATATCAATAGTCAATTAAAGAAAGTTACAGCATGCCAAGCAGATTTAGCCTAAAGAAGCCTACCTCAAGACATTTAACAATCAAACTACCAAAGATCAAGGATAAAAAAGGATCCTAAAAGCAGCAGGAGAAAGAAAGAAATAACATACAATGAAGCTTTAGAATATGTGGCAGCAGAATTCTCAGTGGAAACCCTATAATCCAGGAAAGATATTAAAATTTTTAATTTCATATGGAATTTTTTTTTTTTTTTTTGAGAGGGAGTCCCACTCACACTGGTTGGAGTGCAGTTGTGTGATCTCGGCTCACTGCAACCTCCACCTCCCAGGTTCAAATGATTCTCCTGCCTCAGCCTCCCGAGTAGCTGGGACTACAGGCATGTGCCACCACGCCTGGCTAATTTTGTGGTATTTTTTAGTAGAGATGAGGTTTCACCATGTTGGCTGGGCTGGTCTTGAACTCCTGACCTCAGGTGATCTGCCTGCCTCAGCCTCCCAAAGTACTGGGATTACAGGCATGAGCCACCATGTCTGGCTGAAATTTTTATATAAATTTAAATTTAAAATTTAGATGAACATAAATTTAAATTTAAATTTTATATGAATTTTAAAATTCATATGGAACCAAAAAAGAGCCCGAATAGCCAAGGCAATCCTAAGCAAAAAGAACAAAGCTGGAGGCATCATGTTGCCCACCTTCAAACTATACTACAGGGCTACAATAACCAAAATAGCATAATACTGATGCAAAAACAGGCACACAGACCAATAGAACAGAACAGAGAGTCCAGAAATAAGGCAACACATTTATGACCACCTGATCTTCAACACAGCTGACAAAAACAAGCAATGGGGAAAAGACTCTCTATTCAATAAATGATGCTGGGATAACTGGCCAGCCATAAGCAGAAGACTGAAGCTGGACCCTTTCCTTATACGATATACCAAAATC
This sequence comes from Homo sapiens, assembly GCF_000001405.40. NCBI lineage: Eukaryota > Metazoa > Chordata > Mammalia > Primates > Hominidae > Homo > Homo sapiens. The sequence continues at coordinate 82,134,425 of NC_000010.11, read as the reverse complement.
AATTCAAGATGGATTAAAGGTGTAAATATAAAACCCCAAACTATAAAAACCTTGGAAGACAGCCTAGTCATTACCATCCTAGACATAGGAAAAAGCAAAAATTTCATGACAGACACCAAAAGAAATCGCTACGAAAGCAAAAATTGACAAGTGGGATCTAATTAACTTAAGAGCGTCTGCACAGGAAAAGAAACTTTCAACAGAGTAAACAAGACAACTTACAGAATGGGAGTAAATTTTTGCAAACTATGCATGTGACAAAGGTCTAATATCCAGCACCTATAAAGAATTTAAATTTACAAGAGAAAAACAAACAACCCCATCAAAAAGTGGGCAAAGGACATGAACAGACACTTCTCAAAAGAAGACATACATGCAGCCAACAAGCATATGAAAAAAGCACAATATCAGTGATCATTAGAGAAATGCAAATCAAACCCACAATGAGATACCATCCCACACCAGTCAGAATGGCCATTATTTAAAAGCCAAAAAATAACATATGCTGGTGAGGTTGCAGAGAAAAGGGAACACAAATACACTCTTGATGGAAGTGTACATTAATTCAACCATTGTGGAAGGCAGTATGGCGATTCCTCAAAGAGCTAAAAGTAGAACTTCCATTCCATCCAGCAATCCCATTACCGGGTATATACCACCCAGAGAAATATACATCATTCTACTATAAATACACATGCATGTGAATGTTCATTGCAGCACTATTCACAATAGCAAAGACATGGAATCAACCTAACTGCCCACTGATGATAGACAATATAAAGAAAACGTGGTACATATACACCATGGAATACTATGCAGCCATAAAAAAGAAGGAGATTATGTCTTTGGTGAGAATATGGATGGAGCTGGAGGCTACTGTCCTCAGTAAACTAATGCAGAAGCAGAATACCAAATACCACATGTTCTCACATATAAGTGGGAGCTAAATGAAGAGAACTTATGAATACAAAGAAGGAAACAACAGGCACGGGGGTCTACTTGAGGGTGCAGGGTGGCAGGAGGGAGACGAACAGAAAATATAACTATTGGGTATGGGACTTAATTCCTGGGTGATGAAATAATCTGTAAAACAACCCCTGTGTCATGAGTTTATGTATGTAACAAACCTTCACATATATCCCCAAACCTAAAATAAAAGTTTTTCAAAATAACAATGTTAAAAAAATATGAGGTACAGCAAAAGCAGTGCTAAGAGAAAAGTTTCTAGCAATAAGAGCCTACATCAAAAAAGTAGAAAAATTTCAAATAAACAACTTAATGATGCATTTTAAAGAAATAGAAAAGCAAGAACAAACAAAATCTAAAATTAGTAGAAGAAAAGAAATAATAAAGAATATAGCAGAAATAAATAAAATTGAAATAAAAAATACAAAAAATCAACAAAATGAAGTTGATTTTTTGTAAAAATAAACAAAATCAACAAAACTTTAGCTAAACTAACTACAAAAAGAGAAGATCCAAATAAATCAGAGATTGAAAAAGATATGTCATAATTTATATTGAAGAAATTCAAAGAATAATTAGAGATTAATATGAGCAAATATATGTCAATAAATTGAAAAACCTACAAGAAAAGGATAAATTCCTAGATACATACAACCTACCAAGATTGAAACATGAAGAAATCCAAAACCTGAATAGACGAATAACAAGTAATGAGATCAAAGCTGTAATAAAAAGTATCGCAGCAAAGAAAGGCCCAAGACCAGACGGCTTCACCGCTGAATTTTACCAAATATTTAATGAAGAACTAATACCAATCCTACTTAAACTATTCCAAAAATTAGAGGAGGAGGAGGAAATACTTCCAAACTTCTATTAGGCCCGTATTACTCTGATAACAAAACCAGACAAAGATATATATATATCATATATATATCATATATATCATATATATATGATATATATATATCATATATATATATCATATATATATCATATATATCATATATATATAAAAGATATTAGCAAACTGCATTCAATAACATATTAAAACAATCATTCATCATGACCACTTGGGATTTATTCCAGGGATGCAAAGATGGTTCAACATATGCAAATCAATCAACACGATAACATCATATTAACAGAATGAGGAACAAAAACCATATGATTATTTCCATTGATATTGAAAATGCATTTGTTAAAATTTAATATCCCTTCATAATAAAAATACTTATAAAACTGGGTATGGAAGAAACATATCTCAACACAATAAAAGTCATATATGACAGACCCACAGCTAGTATCATACTAAACAGGGAACAACTGAAAGCCTTACCTCTAAGAGCTGGTACAAGATAAGAATGCCCACTTTCTCCACTGTTATTCAACATAGTACTGGAAACTCTAGGTAGAGCACTCAGACAAGAGACAGAAATAAATGGCAACCAATTTGGAAAGGAAGAGATCAAATTATCCTTGCTTGCAGATGATATAATCTTACATTTGGAAACGTCTGAAGACTGCACCAAAAAAACTATTACTACTGATAAACAAACTGAGCAAAGTTGGAAAACATAAAATCAACATACACACATCAATAGCATTTCTATATGCCAACAGAAAACAATCTGAAAAAGAAATAAAAAAGTAATCTCATTTACAATAGCTACAAATAAAATTAAATACCTAGGAATAAACTTAACCAAAGAAATTAAAGTTATCTACAATGAAAACTATACAACATTGATGCAAGAAATTACAGAGAGAACAAAAAATAAAGATATTCCATGTTCATGGATTGCAAGAATCAGTATTGTTAAAATGCCAAACTACCCAAAGCAATATACAGATTTGATAGAACACCTATCATAATACCAATAACATTCTTCACAGAAATAGAAAAAATAATCCTAAATTTGATAGGGAAACCACAAAAGACCCAGAATACCCAAAGCCAACCTGGGCAAAAAGAAAAAAACTGGAGGAATCACATTACTTGACCTCAAAGTATATTACAGAGCTATTGTAACCCAAACAGCATGGATACATAAAAACAGACATATAGACTAATGGAACAGAATAGAGAACCCAGAAATAAATCCATACACCTACAGTGAACTAATTTTCAACAAACAAGCTAAGAACATACATTGGGGAAAGGGTAGTCTCTTTAAATAGTGCTGGGAAAACTGGATATCCATATGCAGAACAATGAAATTAGACCCCTATCTCTTGCCATATACAGAAATCAAATCAAAATGGATTAAATACTTAAATCTAAGACCTCAAACAATGAAAATACTAAAAGAGAACATTGGGGATACTTTCTAGGATATTTGTCAGAGTAAATATTGCTTGAGTAATACACCACAAGCACAGGCAACCAAAGCAAAAATAGACAAAGAAGATCACATCAAATTAAAAAGCATCTGCACTGCAAAGAAAACAATCAACAAAGTGAATTGACAACCTACAGAATGGAAGGAAATATTTGCAAATTATCCATGTGGCAAGGGATTAATAACCAGAATACATAAGGAGCTCAAACAACTCCATAGGAAAAAAGTCCAGTAATCTGATTTTAAAATGGGCAAAAAATCTGAATAGAAATTTCTCAAAAAAAGACACACGAATGGCAAACAGGCAGATGAAAAGGTGCTTAACAACACTGATCACCAGAGAAATGCAAATCAAAACTACAATGAGATATCATCTCACCCCAGTCAAAATGGCTTTTATCCAAAGACAGGCAATAACAAATGCTGGCGAGAATGTGGAGAAAAGGGAACCCTTGTACTTTGTGGTAGGAAGGCAAATCAGTACAACAACTATAGAGAACAATATAGAGGTTCCTCAAGAAACTAAAAATGGAACTACCATATAATCCACCAATCCCACTGCTAGGTATATACCCCCCCAAAAAAATGAAATCAGTATATCAAAGAGATATCCACACACCCATGTTTATTGTAGCACTATTCACAATAGCCAAGATTTAGAAGCAACCTGTTTCCATCAACAGATGAACTTGGACACAGGAAGGGGAACATCACACACTGGGGCCTGTTGTGGGGTTGGGGGAGAGGGGAGGGATAGCATTAGGAAATATACCTAATGTAAATGACGAGTTAATGGGTGCAGCACACCAACAAGGCACATGTATACATATGCAACAAACCTGCACGTCATGCACATACATGTACCCTAGAACTTAAAGTATAATAAAAATATATATATATAAAGAAAAAGTGATACATACATATAGTCTAAAAAATTGATAGAATAAAAGAATATGAATGGAGAAGCAAAAAAAAAGAAAATATGATACATATACACAGTGGAGCACAGAAAGACAAACTTTGCATGTTCTCACTCATCTGTGGAAGCTAAAAATTAAACAATTGCATGCATGGAGATAGAGAGTAGAATGATGGTTACTAGAGGCTTGGAAGGGTAGTGATGGTTAATGGGCAGGGAAAGTGGGGATGGTTAATGGTTACAAAAAAATAGTTAAGATAGAATGAATAAGATCTAGTATTTGATAGCAGAATAGGGTGATTACAGTCAATGATAATTTATTACACATTTAAAAATAACTAGGACAGGCGTGGGTTCTCACACCTGTAATCCCAGCACTTTGGGAGGCAGAGGTGGGAGGATCACTTGAGGTCAGGAGTTCGAGACCAGCCTGACCAACATGATGAAATCCCGTCTCTACTAAAAATACAAAAATTAGCCGGGCATGGTGGAGCATGCCTATTGGGAGGCTGAGCCAGGAGAATTACTTGAATCTGGAAGGTGGAGGTTGCAGTGAGCCATGACTGCACTACACTCCAGCCTGGGCAACAGAGTGAGACTCCATCTCAACAATATATATAAATAACTGAAAGAGTATAATTGAAATGTTCATAAAACAAAGAAATAATAAATGCTTTAGGTGATAGCTATTTCATTTACCCTAATGTGATTATTTTGCATTGCACACCTGTATCAAAATATCTCATGTCCTCATACATACATACACCAACTATGTACCCATAAGAATTAAAACAAGGAAATCTATAGAGGAGATAAGGAAACCAGAATGAAAGGAGTTCTAAGACTAACTTTAAACTAACCATGCATGTAATAAAAATCAGATATATCACTGGAAATTGAATGTGAACTGTGCCCTCTGACAATGTAGTATTGTGGTTTTTACAGGAATACTGTGTATTGAGAACATTATGTTAAAAATTTAGAGCACTGCCCTGGCGCAGTGGCTTATGCCTGTAATCCCAGCACTTTGGGAGGCCAAGGCAGGTGGGTCACCTGAGGTCAGGAGTTTGAGACCAGCCTGGCCGAAATGGTGAAACCCCGTCTCTCCTAAAAATAGAAAAATTAGCTGGGCATGGTGGCAGGCATCTGTAATCACAGCTACTTGCGAGGCTGAGACAGGAGAATCGCTTGAACCCGAGAGGCGAGGTTGCAGTGAGCCGATATCACGCCACTGCACTCCAGCCTGGATGACAGAGTGAGACTCCACCTTCAAAAATTTAGGGTACCGAAATCTCAAGCAAATTAAGATGACAGCATACACACAGTGTGCTTTTATCATCAACATGGTTATTATTGGCTGAAATGTTCCAGTCCCTAATTGTAAACTCAAAGTGGAAAAGCTAATCTGTTTATTCAGATTCCTTAAATAATTGAAGTGAACAAAAAAAACCCCAGAAATTTAAACAAGCTTTTAAAAATGCTTCTGGTTTGAGTTCTTATCATATTTTGAGTCAGACGCATATAAGGCATTTGTAATCAACAATCCATGACTCAAAGGTTATCAAAATCATGGGTATCAGAAATGTCAAGGTAAAGAATATTTAATGTTCTCTGCAAATTTGTTCAATGCAGCATTAAAGATATAAATCCTTTATTCATTCCACAACAAATGCAAAAGGCATTTCCTTATCATAATCTAACCTCTAAATGGTTTTCTCTGGAGTACAGGAGGCACTTACTGGGAAGGCATATAGAAAGTAAGAGTTTTAATATAAGGGATGCACATGTCATTTTCCAGCAACTGCTGAAAAGTATCTCTTCCATATTCATGACACAATTTGAGTTTTTAAAAACATTTTTAAGGTGAGATCTCTAAAACATGCCTAGCCATTTATGACAGTCCTTAGAAAAATGAAATAGCACTGAAATATTCATAATGATCAATAAAGAAAATAAATGCAATGCCATTATGCACATACTCTTAAGTGATGGTGCATTATTAATAAAGATGATTGTCCGGAACTAGGTAAGATAAAATGTGTCCCAGCACACATTTTATCTTCCATTGGAATCACGACGGGTAGAAGGAAGGCCAATGACTAGACAGCAGACCTGAACACAAGTCCAACTCAGTCATTAATTAACATCGTGATCTTAGCCAAGAGATTTCTATTTATGGGCTTCAATTTTCCCATTTGTAAATTTTCAGTACCTTAAGTGATCTTTGAGGCTTTTCCAAACTGAACCACTCCATGATTTGAAAATGAGGTAGTTAAATTTCCTATGATGAAGGAAACAGAGTGACTCTTCTTTTTCTTTCCTATGGAGCCGAGCCTCCAAGCACTGAAGAGGGTGGGAGAGAGGAAGGTCCTAGCAGGGTGGGGATGCCCCACTATGTCTCTGAAATGCTTGCATTTTGCATTGTCAAGATCAGTGGCTGTGCTGAGAGTGTGGGCTAAGGAGTCCACCCTGGGGCAGACTGGGGTTTCTGGAGACAGGTGGCTAGGATAGGCTGATGCCACCTGTCCTGGCACCAACTGGGAAGAAGGAAAGGGTGGCACACTTCCACTCAGGTTTACTGTGCATATTTACAAGGAAGTTAGCCAAATATCTGTGCCCAAAGTATTAACTAAGCTTTGGTATCACACTTCTGGTGATAACATGAGTTTTAGAGGAGTGTATGTTTCAGGAGGGTATGGATAAGAGAGAGAGAGAACCAACTTCTCAAGGGACTAAAGGGCTGAACATTGTCCTGGAACTCAGGAAATCAGCTCTGTACATTATGAAACATAAGTCATGCTCCACTTGTTTTGCCACGTTCTAAAACGCATAAACTTTTCATGCAGGTAGAGAAGCCAACCAATAAACAAAGCAATTTGAAAACTAGGTTTACCTTCAGGAGAGAACTATTCCACTACTAACTTCACATAGGCAGGGTCTATTCCTCTCCACTCCCCCAGCCCCATCACTTTGGTTTTAAGTCTACTTTTTGACCTTACAAATTCCATTGAACAGAGATGACTGTCCAGAACTTAAGCTGCCCTTGCAGCACCTGCAGCCACCCTCTGCATGGAGCTGAAGCCGCATGGCCCATGGATCTCCTTCAAGTGTTAGGGACCCAGCATGCAGACTTTAGGAAAGGCTTATTTTTGCTCAAGGATTGAACAACAAGTCAAAACAACTTTCTCACCATAGTCATGAGAATGCCATATCTCAAATTTCACTGAAACTGTTATAACATTGTGACAGAGGAAGACTGTGAGCAAGGCTTTGTCTAGCTTACGACTAGGGCACCCTTCTGTACTGCCAACTGTGTCTCCAACCTGGGCTCTTATGAACCAGCAAAATAGGCCTCCCTTTGCTGCTGGTAGTCTAGCACTTATGATAACACCAATCATTTGCAAAGAACTTACGCAGGTTGCAGAGAACTCACATCTGTACTACTCCATTAAATATTCCTAGAGTCCTATGAAGTAGGCAGAATAAATGTCATCACTTCCTTAAAACAGAAGAAACATGAATGTGTAGAGAGGTTAAAATGCCAGTTCAAAGAAGCGGCCAAAGGAGAAATTAATTCTTTGGTCTTTCTGGCATCAAGGAATATTTATATGCCAATTACTATAAAGAATAAAGAGCAGCAGTCAGAATGAAGTGATAATTTCAATTAAATCTCTGCATACTATCTGTGCCTTGTCATCACCAACTTGTGGCTGATCTACCGAAACATCTACTAGGACATCTACTGGGCCAAAAGATTGTCTAGAATGGCTTGATTCATAACCACCCAGCTTTTGTTCTGTATGTCTCATGTTGCAGCTTCTATGAAATATAACCCTATAATTACTGCAAGTTTGTTCTACATGTTTGTAGAAAAAAATTAAATTTACTCATTATACATTATAGGGAATAATATTTTTAGAATTTATTTGTTAAAGAAAAATAAATTTATTTTCCTAAGTGGTAATAACAACCTTATGATATTTAATTTATTATCTAAGGTATCGATCATTTCTACATTAATTCTTCAAGTCTATGTCTTCATTAATGGTGAAATTCACTTTCTAGTGAAAAGTATTAAGATCTGGCTGTCCAACACCCCAGTTTCCTGGGACTAATCTTTTCTATGGCGATAGTCCTGGAATAATTATCAGTAGTTGCTCCCTTCACTCTTAAGCGTCCTTGTTTGTAAAATAAATTTCATGGTCACCACAATTAAGATCTTTCACCTTGTCTTTCTCCCTACAGGCCTTTTGAAAAAATAATCTTGCTATCTAATAGATTAATTGCTAAACAGAGAGAATGACATCTTTCTTCCACAGAGCATACTGAAGTCCAGGGAGACCTGACGGTGCCTTGACTTGAATTAGCAACATTGAAGATAAAGAAAATTACACAAATCTGGGCAGTATTCAGAATATATAAGCATGGTCTAGTGAGCCGGGGACATTGGAAGGGGAACCACCTGGAGAGGGAAGATAATGAGTATGATCTCAGCCACACAGACATACCTCATATGAGTTCAATATTTTGGAGAAAGCAATGCTAATTTGATATAGGAGTCTGTGCCTTATAATAGAAGTCAAGACTAAAAATATACATTTGGGGTTAACCAGCATATTGATGGTATTTGTTGAAGAACACTTGCCTAAGATCTTCAGAATTTATCTTTACTAAAAAGAGGTGTCCCAGCTAGTTATCATTTTTCAAAAAACTTTAACAGAATTTAAGTAATGTTAAATATATACAGCCATGATTTATGTTGATTAAATGACATCCACTTAGAATTGAGTAAGGTTTTATTTCAGGTTTATAGACTGAATGATTTAAAATAATGTCTTTGCAATATAACAAAGAGCAGAGTTTGGTGAAGATCACTTAATCTGAGGGCTGTACATAAAGTCTACCTCAGGAAACTACTTTTGGAAACACACACACACACATAAACACACACACTGACACAGCTGCACAACAAAACATTCAACACGCAGACATTGCTTAAATTAAATTCATGACCGGGGGATGCCTCTCTCATCTAAATGAAAATGATGACAGTAAAGGACATTTCAATTGTCTCATAAGCCCATGGTAATATTTCTTTCATCTTTGTCAGATTATTAAATAAATAAAATGAGGCGATTTGACAGCAAAAGGGTGAGACCAAGTAAAAGGGTAATGAATATTGAGAATATACAGGAGTCAGTAGGCATGGCATAGTTCAGCTTGACAAGAAAAATATTGCATTTTGATGTCATTTCTGAGTAAAATGTGCTTGTCAAATGGGGATGATGATTGGTCTATTGAGAAGCTGACAATCGGGCCATTATTAGATGATATGATGTTTTGCTGTGTCAAGTAAATAGTCTGTGATGAATGACACAAGGCTGAAAGAAAGCAACAGATTATACTGTGGTATTTTTTTCCTTAGAAAACATATATTTGGCATCCAAACTTGTTAAACTTTTTTTTTTTTTTTTACTTTAAGTTCTGGGATACATGTGCAGAACATGCAGGTTTGTTACTTAGGTATACCTGTGCCATGGTGGTTTGCTGCACACATCAACCCATCATCTAGGTTTTAAGCCCCTCATGCATTAGGTATTTGTCCTAATGTTCTCCCTCCTCTTGCCCTCCACCCCCCGACAGGCCCCGTTGTGTGACGTTCCCCTCCCTGTAGGAACAGAAAGTTCCGCCTCACTTACGAGTGAGAACATGCAGTGTTTGGTTTTCTGTTCCTGTGTTAGCCAAACTTGTTAAATATTTTTATCCTTACTCATTGGGGTAAAAAGTATATATTTTGGGAGAACTTCATATATTCCAGGCAAGGGTTAGGTGTGGATTTTCACAAAATATATCTGATCCAATGTAAGTTAATAATTACTACAGCCCTATTAATCCCACTTTACAGATGTGGATGAAGAGTCCCAAAGAGTTCAAGTTACCTGCCAAAGATGGTAGATTCCAAATACAGGATTCATCAGTTCGAAAGCCAATTCTCCATAACGCTATCCTATTCAGAATTTCCCAATAACCTACACCTTTCAAGGTGATGTAACCAAGAAATTTAAGCTACCAATATAATCTCAAAGATAAAACAAGTTACCTATCATCTAAAGCAGATCACTGTGATGAAGTAGATAGATAAAATACTTGAAATGACATCGCAATAGTGGTATTGAGGGTCTGAAGGATTTGATCTTTTCTTGACATCTAATTAGTATGCATCTCATTGAAGGGGGTGAGAATAGCGGGGCAGTCCTGAGTATCAGATGTCAAATGAAATTGGTTTCCCCTGTCAATGCAAGCAACCTCGGGGAGCAAAGCAAGGAAGAAACTAATGCCAATTGCTGCCTTCCAGGTCATACAGATCCAGATGCTCCAGAGCTCTGGGGTGGGACCAGGCATTTATACCTTTTAAGGTTTTCCAGACGATTCCACTGTTCAGCCAACATTCAGATCTACTATATTAGAATTCCAGACTCTATATTTGGTTGATTTAGACTTGCCTCAAAAACTAATGACACCAGCAGAAGAAAGAACAGAATTTTGGATGAACTGAATTCTTCAATCCTAGTTTCAGGTGCTCCCACCTTTGCAGGGAGACTGTTTGAGGGCAAACACTAGGAACACAGAAGGAGGTGTTGGAGGAGGATGCCAGTGTCCGTCCTCAGCAGGGTTATCCGTCAGATGCTGAACAGTTATGTCTAGTTTGCCAAACAGTAAGCAGGTGCTCACAGTGAAAGTAACATAAACTGAGAAAGAGTGGGCTCCATAAGCTCTGTGTTTTCTATACCTCTACTTAAAAGCACGAAACTCAAGGCTGGCATTTGGCACCTGCAGCAGGAACACTGAATGTATTAAACGAAAAAATGAGTATCAAGAACAAGGCATTCTATTTTGGAGGTCAAATGAGTGTCTCTGAAGTTCAGGGGAAAAATCAACTAGTATTTTTATCTGTTGATATTCCAAGTATTATAATTATCTCCAAATACTTCTAGTAATATGCCTTTCAATTACTGAGCCATGTTTAAAGGTAACAGGTACTCTGGGTATACTACTTATTCTGTCTTAAAATAACATAGGAGACCAAAGTTCATAATTTCCCAAGGTAAAAATTGTGGTGCCAAGATTTAAAGATAGTTCCACGTGAATCCATTTCACCAGCTTTTCACTTGGTGTTCTTATGTGTTTTTTTTTTTCACTGCCAAAGTAATATTTGGCTTAGGATCTATTCTCTTATAGAGAAATCTGAGCAGGTAACACAGAGCAGATTTGGGGATTGAGGAAGAGACAGAAAGAGAGATTAAGAGGTGTTATAATGACAGCGGACATCATGTAGTAAAAAGAAGTTGGGTTGTAGAGCCAGAAATATTAGCTTGTATCACAGGAAATTAATAAGAGAGTTGAAAGAACTCATGAAAAATGAGAATTTGTTGACACACATAACACATGGCAAGTTCCTGTTTAGTCAAATAATCCTATACACTGGAGACCATTATGTTTCCTTTTATCTCATTCAGACTAGTATGCCAAGATCAGGAAGCTAACAGGTATTCAGGGCAGACAATGTCTAGAAATAACACTAATATAACTGCCTGGACAAGGCATTGGCTGCAGCTGCCCTTGTGCAATGTCACCTGAGGATCTGAGGCAGGAGAGAGAAAGAATTCAACTCTCATTACTGAAAGAATGATAACATAAAGGAAACAGAGCTATCATCAGACTGTGTAATGGCCAAGTTTGACCAAGTATCTGTGAAGACAAACTACGGAGCAAAAACACACTAACATACCAGTCCGAGTCATGCTAACTCATGCATCTGTGCCATAAGCAAAAGCAGGAAAAGCAAATACTATGCCAGCAGCAAACCAAATGCCAAGGGGAAAAAACTAACTTGGCTAAAATGATGGGATTTCTGACTGCTATGAAGAAGATCAGTGCCCTACCCATGCAAAAAGTTTGGTATAAGAACCACAGAGGACCAAGGTTTTATAATTAAAAAATCAGTTACTATTAAACATAAAGGGATAGAGCACTTACTCCATGTGAGGCACTATTCTAAATACGTGTGTGAATTCATATAATCCTCACAGCAACTCAAGAGTCAGTGCTATTGTTAGCCTCATTTTACCGATGAGACTGAACCACAGTATGACCTTGAGAATGACTTACTCAAGGTCATACTGCTAGGAACAGAAAGAAGCAAAACATATATTCCTGCTTGGAGTTGGGGGGTTGTTATAAAACAGTCACATGAAGTAAGCACAGGACAGCCATGATGGCTCATGCCTATAATCCTAGCACTTTGGGAGGCCAAAACAGGAGGATTGCTGGAGCCCAGGGGTTTGAAACTAGTCTGTGCAACACAGTGAGACACCATCTCTATAAAAAAAATTTAAAAAATAGCCAGGCATGTACCTGTAGTCCCAGCTACTCTGGAGGCTGAGGTGGGAGGACCGTTTGAGCCCAGAAGTTTGAGGCTGCAGTGAGCTATGATTTCATCACTGCACTCCAGCCTGGGCAACAGAGCAAGGCCTTGTCTCAAAAACAAAACAAAATAAAATAAAACCAAAAAGTCAGCACAAAGCCCCAATATCTCCCAAAACTCTAACATGTCATCTAAAGTTCAAACGATGCAATGTTCAGTTCTCTAGTAGCACCAGAGGACACGCAATCCTAATGAGGAAAGCAGTGAGTGTTGGGAAGAAAACAGGAATTGACCCCTCATTACTGTCTACTCTGCAGAAAGCAGTTCATGTAGGGTATGTTCCTGAATTCTCTCTTTGAGGGACTATTTCTTCCAAGTTTAAAACTGAGGAAACCAAGACATTGATCAAGTCAATTGCTTACAGGTACAATGGCAGATCCAATATGTGTCCCTTAGTCTATGCCCCATCCCTCTCTCATACAACTCCTTTGAAAGTATCTGGGAGGTGGGTGAAATTGAGGACCAATGTTAGAAGATGATTATGATGTCACCAGGAGCAAGAGGGTGTAAGAGGAAGAATGTCCTGCAGCCAGACTAAACTGTGGTGGTGGAATCTAGGGTTTACTGGAGTTACACAGAGCAGATGGGTAAGTTTCACTGAGGCATCGAGCACCAGAGAATTTACCAGTTGGAACTGTCTGTAGAGTAACTGGAATGATGGAGACAAATATTACATCATGGCAGTGGGGATGCTGTAGGTACACTGGAACAGATTTTGATCGTACTGCTTCAAAACAAAGTAAGTTAAACTGGCATCCATTATTTCAGCAAATGAAAAAAAGGGAAGAAGAAGAAGAAACAGGCAGAAACATGGGTACGGAGGCATGTGCAGGAATACAGACAGGCAGTAATGAGACTCCCCGTATGCAGAGAAGGAGCTGTGGGAAGCATATCCATGACCCTGAATCTCCAGCTCTTGGCAACTGACTCCATGGAATTCAATATTAGTCCACAGAAATGCCAAGCAAACCTTCTTGCATTTGTATGACTAGATAGAATCTTATCCTGGTTTTCTGTGCAATTTGGTCCCTCAAAAGAGGTAATTCCATTTTGGATGCCAGAGGTATTCTTTGTAGACAGTACAATTGAAATATCCTGAAACATCTTCTTTAAAAATAAATGTATACAGGCAAATTTAATATCTAACTTGACTTATGTGATTCCCTGAAAAAATAAGAAAACCAAAGCCAAGGAGGTATCATGCATCTTATCCTGTGTATAATTTCAGCATTCTATTATAAACCCTGGGTTAATAAGCTCATTAGTCAGCTATCTCTGAACTTCTTTAAAGAAACAAATGTATTTCTTTTTTGTAAAATATAGGTTAAATATTACTATTGATTTTAAATAGCCTAAAACTTTTAACAAAACAGAAATTTAGACCAACTCCAGTAAAAGAAACCATTTCCACGGGTCTCCTGTCGTTACAAGGCTGAGTCATCTCTTTCCATTATTGCCTATACAGTTAGAGAGGACCTGGGTGTATATTTAGCATTTTTACTGGGTCACTTTCTGGGAGAAGAAACGGCTCGGACTTTCTGTGGAGGAGCTGTTCCATATATATCACTGCATCTTGAACAGGCTGGGTAATTTTAGGCAAAGAGTTCTTTTCCTGAATTTATCCAACAGACCATCATAATCCATCTTTCTTTAAAATAATACGTTCATTTACATTAAAATTCTTCATTTATTTTAGGAAGTAACTGTGTCATATTCCCTTAAAACATTATCTTTGTATTTAGGGGGAGGAATCACAGAAGTAGAGGTCGTGACAAATAGCACAGGGTTCTTTCTCCATTACCCTGAATTTCCAGCCATATCATTTCTATTCAAGGATGGCAGAAAGGAGGACAAGAGGTGCTCGTGTTTTCAGAAACGTCATTCCAAATTTTAGAAATACTGTAACACATAAAACTTTATTTTCACTCTTTCTCAACATGGTGCCACTTTATCAATAAGAGAGTCAAGCTGATAACAAGTCAAAAGATAAAGAAGCCTCCCTGTATATTTACAGGAATATATTTGTCCAAATTCAAGTGGTTCTTTTTTGGCAGCTATGTATCATTTGGCAAAAATCTCATAAGTTTAGAACTTAATTTATTTAGGGTTTCTAGGTAGTGAGTAGCCAAGAACACAAGATCCCCAGGGTCAGAAAGACCCTGCTATAGTTCTCACTTTAACACTTTCTGGCTATAAAGTTGGGTAACTTATTTATATTTTTCATGCCTCCATTTATTTATCTTTAGAATAAGGGTAATGATGTGTATCTAACATGGCTATTGTGAAGATTAAATGAGCAAGGCAGATAAAACCTTCCATCATTTTATAACTTTTTTTGTGAAATCAGTAAAAATATTCAGGGAGCTAGATAAGTCAATAGAGAAAGAAAGAGAGAGACAAATTTCAAGAACCAAACTCAACCTCAGATAGGAGACATTGTTGTCGTTGTTACAGTGGTTTTGAGGTCTATTGCACAGCATGGTAAATATGGTTAAGAATACAGTATTGTATATTTCATAATTTCATAATTCAATATTTCATCTTTTCATAATTTTAAATGTTCTCACCACAAAAAATAAGTGTTTGATGTATTGATATATTTGTTACATTTATTTAAGTATTGCACATTGCATTCATAAATCAAACATCACTTTGTACCTCATAAATACATGAAATTATAAGTTGTCAATTTACAATAAAATAAAAATTAAAAAGAAATTCACAACTTGCCTTTAAGCAGGACACTCAGTTGAGAACTTTGCCTAGAGGCCAGACTGTGTCTGTAAATGTTCTGCGGACAGGCCAGCCTGTTTGAAGGACCAACTATAGGCAACTCTGGATCTAGATATGATCAGTCTATGGGATTCCAGAACTATGGAGAAAAGGCTCATCAGGAGTCACTCACCTAGCTGTACTCTGTAACACACTTGCATAGGCTATGATGCCTGTTTTTTATTAACTTTCCACATCTATTGCAAAGAAAAAAAAATCATTTACTATTTTCAGCATTAACAATACACATTATCCCCCCTCAAAAAAAGCAAAAAAGAGACAGAAAGCAAGGTAGCGAAAATTTCAGAGAAAACAAGGTCATGCAGTCTCTCACTTTCTTTATACATCCTAAAGATAAATTGTTCAGGTCTAGGAAGAGACTGGCTCTCTTCTTTTTTCAACTAGGCTAAAATAAACGTTTAAATAGTTCCATTTCAAACCTGTGGCTGTATTTCTCACACTATTAAAAAAGAAAAACATCTACAGTCATTTTCAGCCCAAATCTCATTCTAAATAAAGCTTCTCATCTTTTCTTGACTCTGATTCCTAATTTAACATGATCTCACCTCTCTTACTTATACAAAAATCACTTTTCTGGCAACTTCGACTATTCTTAACAGAGGCATGAATCAGAAAGGAAAAAAGAGGGCCCCTGGATGCTAACCCACAGCCTAAAATTATATGTGCTCCAGAGCACATATAGATTTTTTAGTTTTTTTTTTTTTTTTAGAGTCCTTACTAAAAGCCTAATCACTCTGGCCTTACTTATTACAGTCAATTGAGCCAGTCTGATTCTACCAGCTACCAGAGGGTAGACAAAGCAAATCCCAAGACAATAACAGTGAGTCAGGAAGTGAGGGTTCCAAGTTGGACAGTCATCTTAACAGTAATAATAGCGAGCATGCTTCAGGCTGTGTTGGTGCTACCGGCCCTCTTCCCAACATTTTCTGTACAATAATCCATTTAGTCTTTACACCACCATTTTTATCAGTGAGGAAACAGAAGAACTGAGAGGTTGAATGATCAAGTAATGAAGGCGAAATGTAAGCACAGGCAGTGTGGCTTCACAATGGCAATGAAAACAAATGGCAACAAATACGCATGGTGCAGACATGCAGACAAAAGAGCTAAAATTCACTACTTTGAGGTGATCTAGGAGACAGAGTATATTAATATTAGGCATGGGCTACAAAACTCTGTAAGGTTCAGTAGTTCCTGTTAGCTGTAGGTTGTGATTTCAACGTTTCCCCAAGTTGCACAAGACACTCTGGGCAATGCCTCACAGCACACCCTGCCAGGTAAAAAGGGTGGGGTCTCTGATGGGCAGGAAGCTCCTTCTCCTTGGCTGGCAGAAAAAAACTATGTCTCAGGGTGAGAATATGTGACTTGTCTTCCTACACACAGAGACACACACACAGAGACTCTCCAATTCTCTCCTCATCATTCAAGATATCAAGTATTTGACAAAAATTAAATTAAAAGAACTTGATAAGAATTAAATTAAAAGAAGCTCATCTGAGAGGGATTGGAAGTGAGTGAGTGATGTGGATTTAGAGTATCTTCTTTGTCCCACAATTAATTTATCCCCATAGAGAGCTGCTAGTTATCAGATTGGGAACAGGAAAGATGAGTTGGATTGAATCCTTAAGCTCAATGAGTGAGTGAGCAAAGACAGATGGACACTCAAGGTATGGTACAAATGTGGCCAAGAGCTGAGAGAGGAGAACTCATAGAGAAAATCAAGGATGTAATGTAGGGAGGAACTATTTCCGCCTGGGGGAGTTGGAAAGTTCCCCAGAGGAAATTATCCTTAAATATGACCTATGACAGATAAAGCAAGGTGGCTATCGGCCATCTAAGGTGGACCAGATGGAAAGGAATCCCAGACAGAAAAGTGGGTGTGCAAGAGCTGTAGGGGTACATTGTGGGGCTGCATTGGGGGCCAGTCAGCAGCTCCTTGAGGTGAACCCTAGAAAGAGAGTGGGTTGCAGCTTGTTGAGGGCAAAGCCTGAGCAACTGAGCACTTCTATAATGAAAGCAAAGCTCCAGGTCATGGATGTCTGGAAGGAGAAGAGTACCGAAGAAATCTCAGGGCATTTGGCTGGAAGTAGCTCCTCAAATCTTTCTTCTATAAATCGGGCAGGAAGATGAGGGAGATGGACTGGGTGAACTGGGGTTCTCTTCAAATCTAAGTTTCCCAGACACAAAGATTCACTTGGGCGTCCTGCCATGGACCATTAGGAAGAGTTATATGTCTATTAAACACTTTTGTTTACAAAAGGAAATGATTGGACAATTACATTTTTAAAAGATTTACTTCAGAAACATTTGAAATAAAAAATATAGGCTCTTAAATGAGCAAGCTTTCGTTATTTTAAAATGCACTTATATGAGATCCTCATCCTCTAATTATGCCCAAAAACAAAGTAAATGTCACTGAAATAACCCTCACCCTAAGTAAAAACATTTAAGATGGCATATCTGAAAGCATTCATAGTTTCTAAATTAAATGTTGATACATAGCACTTCCTATTCCTGTAAAGTCTAAAAAAAGAGCTAAATAGTGCTTTCTTGGCTACTCAGGAAACCAGAGCGCTGTTTAAGAATTAATATTTCAGTCGCCTTTAATTTTAAGCTTGGCTATTAAAGATGCCCTCCTTCCCTCCTTTTAAGGGTTTTTTTCTTGTGGTAAATAAATAAAGGGATACTATATATCAAAGTATAAGGGACAAAATCAGGCCATCAAATCCACCTGGATCTAACTACTAAAAAAATTTTTTTTGGAATAATGTAGTCATTATTGTTTCATTTCTGGATGTAAAGAATCCACTTTGTTGAGGTTAAAATATGATGGGTTATAAAAGTATCTACTTGTACAAAATTTGATTTACAAGAATTTGTAAGTGTAGCCTGGTTAAAGGTGCCTGCTGACAAAATACCCCCATTGACTTTAGTCAAAAAGTCAGAGCTTCTTAGGAGTCAAAGTTGTGGTAAATGCACAGATTTTCTCTGCAGGGACCAGGATCATGTGAGTCTCCATCCATGTAGGAGAGTTGGATGCTCTGTATGAGGCAGAACATCCCCTAAGCACTTCTGTGCCATCTGCCCACCAGAGGCATTTACTGAGCAGTCACCCAGTACTTAGTGCTAGTCCACTAGGCTAGATAGAACATCAAGAAATGTCAGAAAAAGAACTTTTCTATAACAGGACCAAACCCCTGATATCCACTTTTGACTCTAGTGTAAATGCCCATTTTTCCCTTTCAGGACCTCAGTTTCCCCTTCTGGATTTGATTATCTTTTAGGCCTGAGTGTATGCCTGTCTCAATTAATCACATTACACCAAATTAACAACCAAGCCCCAGATACCCTGATATAAGTAAGGGAACCAAAGGCCTCAGTGTCACAGGAGCTGGAATGATGGCAGGAGGGCATATTTTTCCTCAAATAAAATTCAGAAAAAAGGCTGCTGTAAATCAGCCTCCTTAAAAACAGTACAAAGTAAAACTAAGAGTTATTGGAGTTCTTGGGATTTTTGATACAAGTTTCAATCAGGCATGGTGTCTATAGTTGACTACATAATTTGGTTCTGCT
Source organism: Homo sapiens (assembly GCF_000001405.40). Taxonomy (NCBI): domain Eukaryota; kingdom Metazoa; phylum Chordata; class Mammalia; order Primates; family Hominidae; genus Homo; species Homo sapiens. Next base: position 82,115,350 of record NC_000010.11, on the reverse strand, counting down.
CTATGACCAAAATGTCAAATGATTGAAAAGCTGTGGTTATACTTGAAGGGGCCTCTTGGAAATTTCCTTGCATTTATGCAGTATCTAGGGAGAGGTGGGGAAGCTCTCAGTAAATAGGAAGAAAGCATCACCTCAACCCACAAGCTGGGTGAATAAGCCTCTACAGAAGGTCAGCAAGGACTAGGGATCAAAAGAAGAGATGTAGGAGGAGCAGGCCACAGGGGTACTCTAAGTCTCCACTGCCTCATGTAGGCAGCAAGTGATGTGTTCAGAAGATCAGGTCTTGACTCATTTTTGCTATTAAAAGCAGGAAGGAACATTGGGACAGCAAATGATTAATGAATTGCTCTATAACCTGCCTTTTTCCAAAAGAAAACTGAGCGATTGAGAAGACAGACACGTCCTCCAAAAAAGTGCTATGATTCAATGATTTCAATTGATGTCAGTTTAGCAAACACGTTGAGTACTTGCGTTGTATGAAGGTGCTCTGCCAGAAAGGAGGAAACAGGCTTGGCCCTTGAGGAGCTTACCCTCCTAACCACAGCCAATATTCCAAAAACACATCATGAAAGAACAGTTTCCAGGGGAAATTTAATTTTTAGAGATGGCCAGAAGCAATCTTGTTTAAGCAGGGGCAAAAGCTGTTAGAAATGGTCAGTTTTTCTAGTATGACCAAATATCAGTCAGAAGAAATTCCTAAAGATGAATTACCCAATTTCCCGAACAATGGCAATAGCTTGAGAAGGTTTATGCTTTTTTTCTCCAGAAGTCTTCTTTGAAGGAGACACTTTTGACGACATGCTTGTGCAAGCATGTGTGTGTATACGTGTTTGTTTACTACCCCTCTTTTCTTACAGGCACAGCTTATCTATAAAGGATGCTAATAAACTGAGACTCACAGAGGTAGTAATCTCTGAAAATAATTTGAATTTTTTAGCACGTTCAGGTTCTTTTATTCCTTCTCTCCAAGAGACTTTCCTCCGGGGTCGAGTTAGAAGTAATTGAATTAAAACTAAGTATATATCTAAAAGAAATGAAAATATTTTCCCACAAAGAAATTGGCACACTAATGTTACAGTAGCATTATTCATAATAGCCAAAAGGTGTGAACAACTCAAATATGCATCACCTAAGAGATGAATGAACAAAATGGGGTATATCTATGCAATGGAATATTGTTTGTCCATAAAAAGGAACAAAGTGATGATAGACGAATGATCCTTGAAAACATTACGCTAAATCAAAGATGTCAGTCACAAAAGACCACATATTACAGAATTCCATTCATGTAAAACGTCCAGAGCAGGGAGACTGATAGACAGACAAAGTAGATTAGTGGTTGCCTAGAGCTGGGGAGTAGGGAGAAGGCTGGTGGTTACAGGATGATAATTAAAGAAAGCATACATGTTTCTATAATTAAATAAGAAGTGATTGTTACAAATATTTAAGATCTTTGTAAATATATAATTAAGGTTAAACCACATGAAATTATCTGTTGATTTGACTTTCTAAATAGAACTGTATTTTGCAATAATTCTAGATTTACAGAAAAGTTGCAAATATACTGCAGAGTATTTTCACATACCCTTCACCTTGCTTCCCCTAAAATTAACATCTTACCTAGTGCAATTATCAAAACCAGGAAATTTACATTGGTTCACCACTATGAGCTAAACTATAGACCTTATTCAGATGTCACCAGTATTTTCACTGATGTCTTTTATCTGTTCCAGGGTCCAATCCAATGTATCATGTTGCATCGATTCAGCAGGTCTTCTCAGTTGCTTGCAATTGTTGTCATTTCCTCAGTCTCTCAGTTTTTCATAACCCAAATCACCACATCTTTTTATGTAAAAATAGTCAGATATCAGCAGTATCACACGGTTGCATCTAATCACATTAAAATTGCTGAACACCATCTCTGAACACACAGTTAGAATTCATGTTTGGCATGGTCTCCATCAGCGAAAAGCTACGTGGTGGCACTGCATAGTGATCAGGAGCGGGGGCTCTGGGACCATAGGACAACGGCTGGCATCACAGTTTTATCACTGAACAACTCAGTGATGTTGGACAATTTGACATTTCTGCCCTTAGTTTTCTCACCTGTAAAACAGTTCCCATCTCCATAGGGTTGTTGTGGGGATTAAATGAGATAACACATGAAAAGCATTTAGCCCACTGCCTGGAGCATAAAAGTATTTGCTGTTGCTATTTATTTTCCCGAATGCCTTACAATCCCTACATTACTATTATCCCAAGTTCCTCCAACTGTCTTCAATTCTGTCAAAATCTTGGTAAATATAAGCAAATCAAGAAATGATTTGTTTCAGAAAACAATACACTGAGGCCAGCATGCAGGAAGACCAGGAGCAGTGTGGGGGAGAAGATGAGCTAGGCATCTTATTTCATCAACCATGGGGCACAACCTATACTAGGCATGGCCACATGAAACCACACAGAATAGCCATTACAGCTTGTCTGAGCACTGTGCCTTCTCTCAGGAGGCTGTGATATCACTGAAATACATATCCATTGCAAACAAAGCATGGTCACGA